>NC_000002.12:205065375-205368405 GCF_000001405.40 Homo sapiens
ACACAAAAAAAGCTTTTTGTTTCCATAGAATAATTTCACATGGCCATAAAGATATCCTGACCCAATATATAATTTAAACCCTAAATACGTATTTTTTATTTCATTCTGTGCTATGGTTTGGTTCTAGTTTGTTTGTTACCATCAAAAGTCATGTTGAAATTTGGTCCCCAGTGTAGCCGTGTTGGGAAGTGGGGCCTAGTGGGAGGTGTTTGAATCATGGGGGTGGATTCCTCAAGAGTGGCTTGGTGCTGTTCTGGTGGTAGTAACTGAGTTCTCTCTCTGGTGAGAATAGATTAGTTCCTGCAAGAATGGATTAGTTCCCAAGAGAGTGGGTAGTTATAAAGCCAGGATGCCCAATGGATTTTCTCTCTCTTTGCATTTTTTGCTTCTGCTTTAACCTTCCCTGCCATGTTGTGATGCAGCACAGAAGCCCTTGCCAGAAGCCAGGCCATGCCCATGAACTTTGCAGCCTGCAGAACCACATGCTAAATAAATATTTTAATAAATTACCCAATCTCAGATACTCCATTATAGGAACACAAAATGGACTAAGACGGCCCCCATTTATTCATACTTATTATTATCAGCCTCATTGAACAGGTAGACAAAACAACCACAAAAACAACAAAACCTTACCATCTCCATAGGTAAGGGAATTTTGTCTCATATAGGACACAGAAGGAATAATTTAGGACACAGACTCTCTCGGGTCTGGGAAAGTTAATGTATCTCATGTAACTAACTGACATTCACCAAACGTAAGAACAGATAAAGTTTCCCCCGACAGACCCTGTGCATATTTTCTGCTCTCAATTTGGCTGAGGTACTAATCTTAATCTGATTGTGTTGAACAGAACAACCCACCCTTTTAGCATTTCTTTGTCTGGCAGGAGTCCTGACATTTGGTCGCATGGTTAACATCAAACACGAAGAGAAATTCCTTCTGGTAATACAGTTAAGATAGGTGCCTTTTTCCTGAAAGTTAGCAATATTCTCACTCTCATGGAAGGCTGTACTGATGGAGGAACCAATGAAGCAGAAAACTCTAAACCACAGATAATTCTTGTTATTTCTACCTGAGTTGAAAATACAATGTGTTCATTAGCAGCAAGTGTATACTGTAGTCTGACAACTGGGAGACCTGCCTTCTGGTGTAAGCTTAGAGACTGAATTGTGTGGTCTTGGAGAAGTTACTTAACTTACCAGGGACAGTTTCTTCATCTGTAAAATGAGAAAGGTGGTATAGTTAAAATGGGAGCTCTTGTGTAGAAACTGATAGGAATATAAACTGGTGTAACACATTTGGAAATCAGTGATCTTAATTCTCAATCTGTGAATTTGTAATGAGGAAACATGTTTTTTCTGCTTTTTTTCATTTTGACGGTTTTTCTTCTAATTCTAAATCATCTAAATAACTGATGACTTAAATCATCATTTAAATCATCAAGTTATTTAAATCATCATCTAAGTAACTTTTATTTTCAGTTTTTCCTCATGTCTTTCAAGTGTCCAAAAATACCCTGGATGAGTTGAAACTGACTTGGAGTCAGCTTCCCCTGAATCCCATGCAGTGCGTGAGGGGAAGGGAGGTTGTGCACCTGAACAAAACTGGGGGATCTAATGGAAAGGGAAGTAAGATGAAATTATCTCAGTAGAAACTAACACTCTATTTTTTGGTCACCAAATATTTCTTTGCATCTTGCATCCACTTTTACTAGGCTTTTTTTTTTTTTTTTTTTTTTTTTTTTTGGTTTATAGGCATTGGAAATATTTTCCCCAGTCCATAATTGGTTTTTGTTTTTCAGAGAAAGGGTCTCACTCTGTCACTCAGACTGGAGTGCAATGCTGCAATCCTAGCTCACTGTAAGAAACTCAAATTCCTGGGTCCAAGCAGTCCTGCCTCAGCTCCTCAGTAGCTAAGACTACATGAGCATGTCACCATACCTGGCTAATTAAAAAAATTTTTTTGTAGAGATAGAGGTTTCACTAGGTTGCATAGGCTGGCCTCAAACTCCTGGCCTCAAACCATCCTCCTGTCTTGGCCTTCCAAAGCTCTGGGATTTCAGGTGTGAGCCACGATACCCAGCCTATAATTGTTTCTTTAATTTTAATTTGTGTTACAGATAAATTTTAAATTTCAGTGTTTATGCTTATCAATTTTCTTTTATTATTATAGTGTATATGTTTAAAGAAAATTTCTAAAATGAATTACAATATTTTCCAATGTTTTAAGTTGGAATTTAAGCCTTTAATTTACCTATAAATTTTTTAAGTGGTATGTGTGTGGGTCTATTTTTATTTTAATATTTGGCATGAGAAATCAGTTATTTCAGTGCCATTTAAAATAATAAATTTTGTTTATGAAATGCTATTTCTGTGTTTATTTAGATGATGCTATTTTTTCTTTTATCACTGAAAGCAGCGTAATTCCATGAATACATTTTCTAATACTCAGCCTTCCTTTCATTTCTATGGCCATTTATCAAACACCTTTGGCCATGATGCATTCTGTTTTATATATTGCTGAATTCAGTTTGTAAATATTTCACTTGTGACATTATCATCCACATAACTGAGATAGTTCTGTACTTTTATTTCTTGCATTGTCCCTGTTTAGTTAAAGAATTAAGGTTCATGCTTTACATGCCCTACATAAGCCTCACAAAATGTGTAGGGAAACTTGATTGGGTTTTCTCCCATTATCTGAAGCAATTTGTGTTTAGCATTGGAATTATATTTTCTATGAACACCTGTTCAGTCTGGGACTGTGCGTATGTGTTGTTTCTCTGTTTGGGGATGGGGCAGGGTATAGGAGAAGATGACTTACTCAGATTTTCTGTTTTGTCTAGATGAATTTTTGTGTGTTGCCAATTTTTAAAATGTCCAGAAATTTATTTGTAGTATTTTCAAATGTATTGTCATAGTCTTAAGATTTCAAAGTAATCTACACTTTATGTGTAGTTATGTTCTCCACCTAACCCCAATATTGCTAATTTGTACATATTCTGTTTTTAATTTTTTTCTCTTTGGTTAATCTTAGTAGACATTTGTCTATACTATTAGTTTAAAAAATTGTTTTTAAGGAAACAGCTTTTGATTTAGTTAATACCCTCTATTCTTTCATTCTTTTCCAGTTTATTAACTTTTGCTTTTATTTCCTTTATTTTAGTTTTAAGTAGCCTAAGAATAGACAAGGAATGAAGTTATTTTTTTTTTTACCTTTTCCTAGCTTCTTGTATGCTTAACTCATTTATTTGTATTTTCTTGTTTTACATGAATGCACTGAAACATGTTTGTTTCTAATCAAAGTACAGCTACTACTATAGCTGCATCCGCTAATTTTTGATGCACAATATTTTCATTTGCCTTTCATTTCTAAATGCTTTGATTTCTGTTGACTTCCCCTTTACCGTATGAATTATTTAGTAGTATATTTTAAATTTTTTGAACATATGACTCTGTACCCATTGCTAATTTAATTGCATTGTATACAGATCAAGAGATTCATATAATGCTGATTTCTTGAAATTTGTGGTGATATTTTGTGATCTAGTGTATGATTAACTTTTGTAAACATTCAACATGTAGTTAACATGAAAACATGTCTCCTACTTTTTGCTATATTTACCTGAAGCTTGTTCATTTTGTTCTTCAAATATTCGATATACCTACCTTTTTTTTTTCTTTTACTCTATCTGCCAGTTTCTAATAGAAATGTACTAAAATTTCCTAGTGTGGCTATATATTTGTCAAATTCTGCTTTTCATTTTCTGAGGTTTTATCTTAAGTGTGCTGAGGCTGTTTTTAGTTGTCTACAGTTCTCTATCCATATTAGTAATTTTTCATTAAATCCTATTTTGCCTGATACATTTGCAACCACTTGTTTGTTTTGGTTAGATTTTTTTCTGGTGCATTTTTCTATCCTTTTATTTTAAACTTCTCAGTGTGGTTTTACCATAGGCATGTCTGTTATAAGGGGCATATAGATAGATTGTATTTAAAAATCCAGTCTGATAATCTATGTATTTAAATAGATTAGTCTAATCTATTTAAATGTATTGTAATTACTGATCTGTTTGGTTTTATTTCTGACCACCATTGAAGTGACAGGTTTTCCCCACCTTTTTTCTCTTTGTTTCAAATCTACAAATGTTACTTGTATTCTTTGCTCATTATTCATAAATTTTAGCATATATATATTTTATTTCATAACACAGAAATTTGAAGTAGATTATACTTACTGTGATACAACAAGCAGAATTGACTGATACAACTCTGTGGTCTTACCCTGGGTTGTCTGAAAAATAAGCTAGCTAGGACCAGAGCCCTCACCCTTCACCCTAAGTAGAAGAAGCCGCACTTGAACTCAGCTTCAAGGGACCAGTGGCTCCCTGGCACCAGCAGCAGGCATAGTAAATTTCCACCGTCCCAAAGATTTCCAGGTGTGAGGCAGCTGGCCTTTGTAGAGCACCTCAGTAAAGAGCTAGTATCTACACTCTACACTGCCTCATGTCAAGATTCTTGTTTAATCCCCCACTATCAAGGCTACTCTTATGCTCATCCTATGAAAAGTAAGAGTAACAGTTTGTGTGGCCTATGTCCTGTGATACCCCACCCTTGGCATGTTTAGCAGAACACCCTGGTCTCTGCTCAGCCTTCCTTGGGGTCACTAGGAACCTATACCTTCTCTTCTTCCTGTCTCCTGGCTTAAATTTCTCCAAGCCTGTTCCTTAACCCATTTGCTATGTGATTGTGAAATCATTCTCAGCCCTGTTGCTTAGTGAGTGGTCTGCAAAAGGACCCTACTTGCAAGACAGAAGCTATGACATACAACCCCTAAAACTTAAATATGTATCTAAAACAATAAGTATTTTTAATATTGTAAATATAACACTATCGTGCCCCATGAAATTAGCAGTTTTTAATATCAATACTTAATCCACATTAGAATTTCCCCAGTTCTCCAGCTGTTTTTTTAAATCAGGATTTAATCTAAGACTAAACACTGCATCTAGTTGCTATGTCTTTTACATCTCTATAATCTTTGTTCATGACATTGACTTGCAGAAAACCAACCAGTTGTCTCTGAGCAGGTCATTTTGCATGAATTTAATTGCTTCCCTGTAAAGTTGTTTGAATTGTTCCTCTTGTCCCTGTAGGTTCTGTTAGCTGAAAGTCGTACTAAAGCCTTGCTTAAATGTAAGTTAAACATTTTAGCAATACTATATCATAGGTGATATATAGCAATACTTCTTATGTATAAGATCAAAAGATACATAATAAGTTTTGTTTTGTTTTTCGCCATTAGTAACCTAAATTTGATTATTGGGTTAAGGTGGTGACAAACTCATCCATCCATTGCAAGCATCAATATGTTCTACTTGAAACAATAGGTAATCATTTGTGAACTAACTTTGTCACTACGTCCAGTTACTGTCAATATTTTTATAACTAACAATTTTATGCTGAAATACTAATTTCATTAAGTTTTGCAGTGTAACAGTTTTTAACTATTTCATTTCTTCTACATTTGCTCGCACTCTTTTATAATGTAGAGCTTTCCACAGCTTTCTATAACTGGGGCTATTTGATTACCTGGAAATAAAGTGCATACTGTTAATGTAAAAAAAAAAACCACTTAATTTGGGGTTTTAAATGGCCAGTTTTCAAAGTAAATTTGTTTCTTGGAAGTGTCAAATGATGACAGAAGATTTTTCTTTGGCTTCTTTCTTATCACTGTGGACTCAGCCTTTCATAAATACAGTGTGTGCAAATCACCCATGATCTTTCTTTCTGATGTCTCAGCTTTGCTGAGTAGAAGCTCCTTCAGACTAGCTTCTGGGTTCTTGACATGATTGTATTAATTCTTACAAGTTTCCTTCCTTTATGGAACAGCAAGATTTCCCAAGATCACTATATACCTTCATTGCCCCACACTTGCCGCCATTCTTCTCGCCAAAGATCTGTAGAGAATGGTCCTAGAAACCAAACTCCGGTCCTAGGTGTGCATCTTGTTCCTGAGAACAAATTACTTCTGTATCATGTTCTGGCCAGACTTAGGGAAAATATGTGAATATATACACTTAAAATCCAGAGTTGAAATCAATGTCTATAATTGTTTTATCACTGAGTTTAATTTCTTTGATTTTCTAATTGCTTCTCTTTCACCTTGAGAGTCTTGAGTGCTATTAACTTTAATGTAAGTATGGATTTGATTTATTCTACAATGTAAATGTTTTTAAATAACAGCACTGCTGTTAGTACAGACAACAAAAGATGTACCATCAAAGCATTAACATGTAAAGTCATTTGAAATAAGAATCTTTTCACTTTGTAGTGTATCACGTATGTGTGTGTGTATACAGAGATACACACATAGTAATTTTTAAAATAAATTATTGTTATCCAGAATTTCTGTCTTCCTAAACATAACTGCCACTTTTACACACTCTCTCTAATTGTTGGTACTCTCACATTGCTGTCTATAGATCCAAATTTTATCTTAAAAAAAACAAAAAATGCAAAACACTGGTCATTACATTTTAAGCAGATTTAGCCACTTGTTTGAGCAATTTTTGTGCTTGTGTGACTCATGTTTTCTGTGAATTAGCTTTTTTTTAAAAGCTATAAATTATGAGTTCTTATTTGTATTTCTTCTTAAAAATATATGTAGTCTCACATAATAGTAAACATCACACTTTTAATTCATCTTGTTGTAAAGAAATAAGATATAGTTTGACGATGGTATTCCTGTCATTAATAAATCATAGGCATTAAATAATATGATCAAAAATTCCACATTAAAAGACTGCTTACATTCTTATAAACTTGTATTTGGACTTCATAATTAAAATAATTCAGGTCCTTTTTTTTTTTTTTTCTTCTTTGAGACAGAGTTTCATTCTTGTCCCCCAGGCTGGAGTGAGTGCAATGGCGCACTCTTGGCTCACTGCAACTTCTGCCCCCCTGGGTTCAAGCGATTCTCCTGCCTCAGCCTCCCAAGTAGCTGGGATTACAGGCGTGCGCCACCACGCCTGGCTAATTTTTACATTTTTGGTAGAGACGGGGTTTCACCACGTTGGCCAGGCTAGTCTCAAACTCCTGACCTTGGGTGATCTACCCACCGTGGCCTCCCCAAAGCGCAGGGATTACAGGCATGACCTACGGCACCCAGCTGAGGATTAAAGTATAGGTGGAGACAATTAAATTTTATTTCATATCAGTGGTTCACAACTATGGTACAGTATAATCTGGATATTTTAAGGTCTAAATAACATTTTCTTGGTAAAACTTATTTTAAATAGAAAAATTGAAAATAATGAGGAAGAAAATAATATCCTTCTCTGTAACTGCATTCATTTACTGTTTAAAAAATAATTTGCACTACTTGCTATGGCCATACTTCTTAGTTTAGTTATACTAATTCTATTTAGTAAAAGCGACGATACCAACTTTTAAAAACCAACATGCAATGAGATAGATTAGAATTAAAATTTTATGTATGAGAGTCAAACCATTAGCTCCTTAAGGATAGAAATGTCCTGTTTTTCTTCAATTTGCTCAGTATATGATATACAGTAACTGCAGAAATTAAATTTCAGAGGGATTAAGTGATTTTCCTAAGTCCTATCTTCATAAATTTTAATATATATCTTTTAAACATTTAAACGGTATCCATGAAATTTAATACAAACATTATTAGCAAAAAGCCAGTTAGTTGAAAATAAAGAACTAAGATTTTGTTTTTTGGTTACTATTCCAATTACCTTTCTATTACCCTAGAGCTGAATAAATGGTTATTTGTGTGAATTAAAGTGGGCCACTTAAAAAATGTAAATGTAAAATAAAGCTATTTTATTCCCCTCTTGTGTAAACAGCAGTTTTCCTGTAAATCAGGGTGTGTTTTAAAAATCACCATCCCTTTGCTTAAAGTTGTGTTATTCTATATAAAGAAGATTGGTTCTGGTGGTGTCCTGCTGTGGTAAATTTTGAAAAGATGTCGAAAAACTTGTCTTATTTGCTTTGAAGTAAGAAACCAAGATAAAACTGAAATAAAATTAAATGGAACTAGACAACATTTCATCTCATGCTATTTTTTCGGGAAAAAAAGTCCAAATGTATATAGTAACCTTGAAAGTAAGTCTGTAGACATTATCAAATCAATCTAAATTGAGTTAGTGTATATGTGGTAGGCAGAAACTGGTAGAAATTAGTTTATCTTCCCCAGACTCTTTCTGTTTTCTTTGTACAAAGTAGGATAAACTTGTTTTTAGACCTGATTATGTTTCTTTGTTGCTTTTTTCCCCCTTTCCCTAAAAGGGCAAGGATTGTCCATATTTTGTTCAATTCACACCAGGCGTTAGAACAGGAAACCATTAAAAAGCCCTAGGCACATGTATGACATCTGTAGCTATTATTGGAAAGATGTGTTGAATATAAAACCTGAAACATTTCCAAATAAGGAATATAAACAATGATCCCCAGTGTTTTGTAGTTTCACTGCTTATAAACAACAAATTGAAGCTGTAGGGCTGATTCTTGTGATATACATACATGTGAACAACCTAGCCCACACATATTCCTCTTTATCTTATTAACAGGATCTCTACAAAATGCACTTCAGTCCCATTAGACAAATGGTAAGGCTGTTGTATGACTAATCTTAGTGGACATTTTAAAAGCTTATTTTAAATATCCATTGCTTCTTTTATTTAAATGTATCTTTTTCTAGTTGGATCCATTCATTCCTAGAGCTTCTCATTTATAAGTTCAGATTGTATTGAGAATATTTGTGTCAAAATGCTTGATTCATATAGCACTTTCTGAAATAATTTTGCTAATCTTCAAATTGTCTATTTGAATAAAAACAAAGACATTAATTACAAAAAACTTTTGAAAAGACTATTGTCTCATTAACTTTTATGCTAAGAATTATATATCTTATGTAATATATTTGCATATATCAATGATTTTCCACTCATTTGAACTTTTAAAAGTTGCTAATTGGTAAAGGAATCATCTAATTCTACCTTGATGGGTTTGAAAGGAGAACTTAATAGTAGTTTATGGAACGACTTCAGAAAAACTATCGTATGTCATCTATTGCCTGTTGCATTCAGAATGAACAACAACTTATCTTCATAGAAAATGGTACTACTGACTTAGTTGCTCTGCCCTCTATGTCATTCTTAGTGAAAATGCTGTGATCAGGTGAGCTCTTAGTAATCATGGCTGTCTGATGTATCAAAGAGGTTTATTAAAACTTGGAAGCAGCTGTGGCATAGTACAATGTTCTCGATCATTGTGCATCGCAAAATTTACAAATGTTGAGAGTGTGGCTTTTCTTTAGTCTGTAAATGGCAGCACCCAATGACCCAGATTCCCCTTCTATTTCACAGGCGCTCAAAAGAAAACAAAAAACAAGCTGCCAGCTTTCCAATTTAATCCTTAATAATAACAATCTTCCAAGACTCCATATTTTCCTAGGTCATTTAGACAAATGTTATTCTACATCAAAATATAATTAAATGATCCAATATCAGTTTAAATTGCATTGTTGGTGTATTGTTTCCAAATTATAATTGTTAAGTGTTCTGTAGCTCACTGAATATTTTTAAGTTTGTTGTAGTGCCCAGAGGCAAAAATTGCAATGGGTACAATTTTATAAATCAAACTCATTAATAAATAATGTTTTCATTATTACTGGAATAAAGAGAACCATATAGGATGACCTTTTAAAAACATTACTACTTACAATTTGAAATGGCTTTAAATGGAGGATTGTACATAATGTATTGTAATGAGACCATCCCTTCCAGACCTATAGGTATTTCACATCAGATTTCACAGTGAAGGAATGTTTGAGAGCTTCCCGAAAGTTAGACAATGCATTTTTATCTTATAATGTTTTCTTCCTTAAATTTAGAAGTTTTGTACTAGTAAACTTTGGTTACTTATTTGTAGATTTCTTTTCATTGCTCATGGTGAAGATAGGAATTATTGCATACAATGATTAAATTCTCCCGTATGAAAATTATGTTTACAATTAATATATAGAAAGTACAACTTAGCTCAATAACATTTTAATCCACCCTCAAAAAAGAAAAGGAAAATCCAAGATCATATATTAAGAAATATATATATGCCTATGGGAGTTTAAAATTCAACTTGTCTTCAAGAAGACAAGAAATTTTACCTCTTTTTTAGGTTGCAAAATTATTTCTATACTTCTTATTTCTTCATAAGAAATAGTTTAAAAGATGTTGACCATAGCTGCCTTACCTTTATAAGAATTTTTGCCATTCTAACAAAAAAAAAAAAAAAAGAATTTTTGATAGACATTTTTTCTGATACAATCATGAAAATATACAAGACACTCCAAAAATAACATTTTCCTTGATCTCTATGGTTAAACTTTTTTCATAAACACATACTTTTGCTTTGTATTGTACCATTCAAAGTAGGAATCAAATTTTAAACATGATGGTAATGTTCAAACTGATAAAACTAATATTCATCAAAAATAAATATTAGTACAATATCCCACAACAAAAATGAACCACTGCTTGTAATTATTTAAAGCTATGAAATTATATATTTTATATGATAAATTACAACTATTTTATAATTAACAGTGAACATCATAGTAATTAAATTCGTGCAGTATCCTGTGTCTTATGAGAACTTTCTTTTCTTTAAACTTTCAGTTTTACCTAACTTCATGATGCAGAGTGGTTCTGTTTGTAATTGCTTTGTAAAGTTCTGAAGTGCAGGTTTAGATTCACAGTGCAGGTTTAAAGCTGTCTGGTTAACTATAGTCTCAACTGGGTAATTCTTATATAACTAGATTGATGCAGCTAAGAAAATAACTAAAGTCAGTCAAAAGTATTGGTCACCAATGCTTCAAACAATCCCATTAATCTGGCTGGTGACTTCAAGGATGTCTAAAACTTCTGGATAATAACTTGTCTCTTGTTATGCTAATTACCCTTTCCACATTTAGCATCACATCTGAGGAGACTGCAGATTGAGTTCCATATCATTTCAATAAATGTTATCTTAAATGTTAACATACTTCAGGTTCAATGTATATAGTTTAGGGCTTCTCAAAGTTTGTTCCACAGATTTCTAGCTCTCTAGATTGGGGATCATCAGCCCCCAGCCATGGACTAGTACTGGTCCATGGCCTGTTAGGAGCCAGGCTGCACAGCAGGAGGTAAGCAGTAGGCAAGAAAGCACTGCCTGCGCTCAGGCTCCTGTCACATCAGTGGCAGCATTAGGTTCTCATGGAAGTGTGGATCCTATTGTGAACTGTGGATCTAGGTTGTACGCTCCTTACGAGAATCTAACTAATGCCTGATGATCAGAGGTGGAACCATTTCATCCCAAAACCATTACCCCATTTCCCCCACCCCCTTCCATGAAACTGGTCCCTGGTGCCAAAAAGATTGGGGACCACTGCTCTAGATAATCTGTGTTTCATTAAGATCTGGAAATGCTACATACTATATTCCCTCCATGAGTTCACAATATAGCAAATTAAATATTCTGAGTAAACTACTATTTCCTAAATTTATTTGACTGCAGGATCATTTTGGAAGCACCATCCACTAACATCCCATAGAAGACATTGTGAGAAATACTCACTGCGTCACAACTCATTAATAGCAACAAAGTTGCCCCTGAATCCGGTCCACCAATCACACATCGTTTGCTTCATTATCTTTGTCTATATATAGATATAAACAAATATATATATCTCTCTCAAGATTTAGATTGTCAGGTGAGTAGAGAGGGAGGGAGGGAGGAGTATTGTCATTTCTAAGAAATGTCAAAAGCCACAGGTACTTGAAAAGGCCTGAAAGATCAGGGACTTGGCTTCCTTTAGAGCCTTGAACAAATTACAGAACTTTGCTTGGTTTTGTTTTGCTTTTATCAGTTTTATTCATCAGTTGAGAGTGTCAGAAAACTTCCCTTTGAGTTCTCAAGTTTCATGGCTCAAGGCGAATTTTCTGTTTCTTTTCTGTTTTTAAGAACTTGGGTCTAGAATAAAAGATAAGTAACAATTCAGTCATACCCTTTTGCAGAACACTCTCAGTATTTGCCTGGCAGTTTCTCTTGATGCATGCGTGCTTGATTTTAGAGAAAGCCGTGAAGTTCATGCATTCTGTAGTTCTGAGAGTGATCTCTGTTACTTGAAGAAGCCAAAAATGCAGAGCCTTCTGTACCCCTCCAAATCTTATTTTTAATGAAATATTATATGATTCCAAGGAAATTTAAACCTATGCAATGATTTCTTAGAGAATAGGTGAGAGAGATGCCTGAGAGATAACAGAATAGGGACGTCTGGGATATATATATATATCCTTGGGGATTTTTTTGATTATAGAACACATGAGCATTAAGAAATAGCACTTATTTAAAAGAGACTGTTCAGTTGAATACCTGTGTTGCTACTAATCACTTCATAGCTCCTTACTTTCCTATTTAAACAACAAAAGAGAGTTGGCCATAGGAATTTTTGTGTTGAGGTGGGGAAGTTTATAAAGGAATAGAACACATAATCATTTCAATGTCTCTTTTAATGGAAAGTAGTTATTTGCATTTGTCACAAATTAAACTTACCTAATTATTAAAATGCTGCCCTTTGGTTTTTGACTTAATAATTAAGAATGACTTCATTGTGATTTTAATCCCAGAGAGTCAGTTTATGTCTGTATAACATGCATGGCTTTCCAAAAAGGTGATTTATGTAATTAAGAGTGAGATATAGTTTATTTATGAAAAGGTGCTTTTGTGTGGTTAAATGTTTAACCTGAGCTAATTAGGAGCCTTGAGAATTTTAGTTAGCAAGTTAAGGCATTCAAAACTCTGAATGGGTATTTATAATTTAGCTTTGTTCCTTTTATTAGATGTGACAGAGCAATTTAGTATTGTAGGTTCACTCAATGGCTATCGCAGCATCATTCTTCATAATTTTTATTAATTGTATGGTTTTCCTTTTATGTTTTCAGGTGAGAGTATTTCTTTTCTAAAGATAGACCAAAGACCCACTTTTTTTCCTGAGTAATTCTGTCTCTTAATGAATGCTACTTAATCCATTAGGGTTCACATAAGTATTCTATCAAGATAGAAATTTAAAGTAAATGTGACTTCATTAATTTAAACTTGTAGTATTTTGCTTAAATTCATGTAATTTTTTTAATCCATAGGGTAAGTGTGGAGATTGTCAAACATGTTAATAAAATATTTGACACTGTTTCAGTGAAGAGCTGAGGTCTAATGTCCTCTCTTCTTGAATCTGGACTGGCCCAGTGACTTAATTGAAAATCATAGCGTGCAGCAGACATTGTGTGACTTCTGAGACTAGTTCAGAAAAGGCTATACCTGTGGCTTCCATCTGATTCCCTTGGGCATTTGCTCTGGGACAAGCCAGATGCCATGTAAGAAAGTCCATTTCTCTGAGTCCACTTTGCTAGAAAGGCCATGTGTAGGCAATCTAGTTGGCAGCCATGGCAGATCTCCCAGCTTCCAGCTCGCATCAATGGCCAGCCACGTAAGTGAGCCGTCATGGATGCCCAGACCTGTGGAGCCTTGGCAGCAGCCGACTCTACATCTGACTGCAGCCTTGTGAGAGACCCCAAGCGAGGGCTGCCCAGCTTAGCCTTTCCTGAATCCCTGACCCACAAACTCTATGAGATGTGAATATGTAAACCAGAATACATATTGCTTTATACCACTGAGTTGCCTGATGATTTGCTATGCAGCAATAACGACCAGAACAAGTAGGTTCAATACATTGCATAGATCTGTTCTTACATGATGTGTTTTAAAAGATAACCATGATTTAAATAAATTACTTTATCTCAAAAAGCTAATCCAATGTTATTATTACCTTGTGTCTTAGTCTGTTTGTGCTGCTATACATAGCAAAATACCCGAGACTAGGTAATTTATAAAGAACAGAAATTCGTTTCTCACATTGCTAGAGGCAGGAAGTCTAAGATAAGGCACCAGCAGATTTGGTGTCTGGTAAGGGATTCTCTCTGTTTTCAGTATGGCACCCTGTTGCTGTATCCTTACATGACAGAAGGCAGAAGGGCAAAAAGAGCAAAAGGGACAAAAAAGGCTTCGCCAATTCCCTCCAGCCCTTTTATAAGGCATTAAGCCATTCATGAGGGCAGATCACTCAAGACCTGATCACCTCCCAAAGGCCACACTTCTTAATACTGTTGCATTGGGGATTCAGTTTCAACATGAATTTTGGAGGGCACACAAATCTTGAGGGAGATTATAGCACCTCCTGAGAATAAGTTTTAGAAATTAGTAATATATTATTCTAAGTATACATAAATAATGTGTGCTGATAATATAAACCATAAATTTATATCTTAACCAAAAAACATTTAATAAGATTATGCTAACGTAAAAATTAATGTGCTTAAGAGTTTAATTCTCCATGAATTATAAAATCACAGGCAGATACCATATAGTTTATATTTATTTAAAGATTCTAAGAGATTTTCTGTACTCATACTTTACTACCCAGAAATCAACCATTTTCCAGTAAGTTCAAGTTGGTGAGCTATGGTATAGAATTAGAACTTTTCAGGTTCTTGCTGAGAGCCTTTTATCTGTGTACATTTAAACTAGTATTTTTATTATAGAATTAATATATCCACATGCTCAAAACTCAAATCATAAAAAAGTAAAATGAAAACTCAGCCTCCCTGGCTCCTATTTTGTTTCAGTCCCACAGGCAACCCCTGATCACAGTTGCTGTTTTTACATTTTTAAGGTGGCTATGATAAAACTTAAAATTAAATTTTACACGTATTCCCCTTTTTCTTGATTTGTCAACTTTACAGAATATCTACTCTTGTTTACCTGCTATTGTAAATGAGTAATTTCTTACATTTAGGTTACCTCCTATCTCCCTTTCTCCTGCTCTGCTTCCGGTTATGTATAATTTTCACTTTAATGGTTATCTTCAGATTAATTGTTGCCTTTATAGCTTTAAATAATATACTTAAACATCTATTTCTTGATTTACCCACCCTGGCCAATATTTCTTACTCCTTGATATGAAAAGGGAAAAAATAAGAATACTCTTCCTTATATTAACTTTTCCTTGATTCATCGCTATGTTTTTATAAATCCATTGTTACTTTTATCTAAAAATCTGTTTTATTCTACTCTTGATGAATATTTGAATTATCCACTTTGGGATTATTAATAATGCTTCTATGAGCATCTTGCACTGTCTTTGGTGCACAAATGTACATGTGTTGCTAAGTCTGTACACTGTGAGTTAAAGGCTGTGTGTATAATACCAGTTTTCAAATAGCTATACTAAATTATACTCACACCAGCAGTATGAGACAGTAGGAATTCCATATCCTCATCAATAATTGGTACTGTTTGCCTTTTTCATTTTAGCTATTCTGATGGGTATTTTATGGTATAAAATTAGGTTTAATTTTCGTTTCCTTGAGGATTAAGGAGGTTGAGCACCTCTTCATATGTTTGTTGGCCATGTTTATTTTATGAAGACTTATATAGATAGGTCTCTTGCCCATAATTGTATTGGATTTCATCCATCTCCCTCCTCTCTCTCATCACTGTGTAGATTTTCTTTATATATTCTCTGTTACAACCCTTTTATCAAAAACATGGGTTGTGGGTATCTGCTTGTGTCTTGCTCTTTTCACTCTCTATTTGGTAACCTGGGTGAATAGTTATTTTAAGCTAGTTCAATCTATCAATCTTTTCCTTTATGGATGGTGCTTTTATATTCTGTTAATATATCTTTCCCTATTCCCAAATCATAAGCATATTCTTTCCTATTTTTATGAAGTTGTATTATTATTTTTGTCATTTATTTTAAAATCTGTAATCTACCTGAAATTTATTTTTTTCTGTGGCATAATCTAGAGTTACATTTGTGTTTTAAAAATATATTTATACATAGTTCACTCAGCACCATTTATTTTTTATGGAGAAAATATAGATTTACTTATTACTTTCTAGTCTATGCCATTGTCCTTTTTTGCTATGATGCTAAGACCTATATTGTACTGCTAAATAGAAATGGTGACGATCTTCTCAATATTTGTAGAACATGTTTAGATTTTTGCCATTAAATATGATATTAGTTCTAAGTTTTTTAATAGATTCCCTATGTTAGGTTGAAGAAGGTTCCTTCTGTTCCTAATAGGCTGAGAGTTTTTAATCATGAAGAGTGTTAAATTTTGTCAAATATTTTTTCTACATCTGTTTCTTTTGTCTGATAATGTGGTAAACTACATTAGTGAATTTTTGAATGTTAAATCAAGTTTGCATTCCTGGTGAAAATCGATTTAATTAAGATAATATTATCTTTTGTATATATTGCTATGTTTAATTTACTAACAGTTGATTAAATATTTTTGCCTCTCTATTTATGAGTGTTACTGGTCCCTGACTTTCTTTATTGAGTAATGTATTTATATGGCCTAGGTTTCATGGTAATGCTAGTTTATATAATGTGTGGGAAAGTGTTCTCTTCTTTATTATTTCTGAAAGAGTCTTTGTAGGACTAGTTATGTCCTTCTCAACTGTTTGAGATGTAGTAATCTCGGCCTGGAGTTATCTTTGTTTCAAGGTTTATAAATATATATTCGATTTCTTCATTTGCTATAGAGCCCTTTAAGTTCCATCTTTCTTATTGGATCATTACTGGTAATTGGGTCATTCAAGAAATATGTCAATTTCATATAAATTGTCATATATTGGCATAAATAATAGAATTCCTTTGTTTTTCTATTATTGTCTGTGGAATCTGCAGTGGTGTTCCCTTTTTCATTCTTGACATTGATACAGTAGTCCCCCTTTATCCACAGGAAATACATTCCAAGATCCCCAGTAGATGCCTGGAAACACGGATAGGGCTGAACTCTATAGTATACTCACACACCTATGATAAAGCATAATTTATAAATTATGCACAGTAAGATTAACAGCACTAATAATAGAACAATTATAGCAATGTGCTGTGATAAAAGTCATGGAAATGTGTGTTTGCTTTCATGCTTGTGTGCACTTTCTCTCTCTGTCTCTCTCTAAATATCTTCTTGTGCTGTACTCACCTGTTTTCAAACCTGGAAAACTGATAACGCAGAAAGCAAAACTGCAGATAAGAGGACACTACTGTAATTTATGTCTTCTCTCTCATTCTGCCTAGGTGTTTGTTAATTTTTTTCATCTTTTCAAAAAAAAATCAGTTTGATTTCATTGATTTTGTTTCCTGTTACATGTCCATGTTCCATTTTATTGGTTTCCATTCTTATTTATACTGTTTTATTCTGCTTAATTGTTCTTTAGTTTTTTCAAGTGGAAGCTTAGATAATTTATTTTAGAGGAGATTAAATATCTTCAGGCCAATAAATTTGAAGCCTTTGCTTTAATGGGCAACATATTACTAACTAAGCCTCTTCCAAGAAAAATCGAAGGCCTAAATTAGAAGCATAATCTTAAGGGAAATTACACCAAAAGTTAAAATATATCTTTTTTTTTTTTTTTTTTGAGACACAGTCTCGCTCTATCGCCCAGGCTGGAGTGCAGTGACGTGATCTCGGCTCACTGCAACCTCTGCCTACTGGGTTCAAGTGATTCTCCTGCCTCAGCCTCCCAAGTTGCTGGGCTTACAGGTGCACACTACCATGCCTGGCTAATTTTTTGTATTTTTAGTAGAGACAAGGTTTCACCATGCTGACCAGGTTGGTCTCGAACTCCTGACCTCATGATCTGCCCATCTTGGCCTCGCAAAGTGCTGGGATTACAAGCGTGAGCTACTGTGCCCAGCCAAAATACATCAATTTTTTTAAAATAGGAAAAGGTACTAGACTGTTATATAGTAATATTCTTCCAGATCTTCAAAAGATACATAACCTCAGTAGCATAAAAGTGGTTTTAAGAATAGAAAAAAAAAAAAGAGGAAATAACTTTCCAAGTTACTTGGAAATTCATCTAGTCTTAAACTAAGTAAGAATGGTATGAAAGGATGAACAATAGGCTGATTTCACTTATAAAAATCAACATCATGGTAGAAAAAGGGCCAATTATGGTTTTAAAAACCTAAACATCTTCCTGACCATACCCTCTCTTTGATTTTAATATTATTTGTGCCTCTTCTCTTTCATTTCTTTATGTTTATCAGTCTTACCATTGACTTTTCTGTTTGATTCTTCTTTTTTTTTTTAGTTTTATTTTTTGAGGAAACAATTTTTGCCCTCAAAATTAATGATTTCAAATGTGGCTGTATTTTCTATTTTATTTCTTTGTTTTTTATATTCATGTCTTCTTTTCATTTCTTTAGGCTTATTTTTTAGTGTTTTCAACACTTTATATGGTTTAGAAACTTTTTTAACATCTTTATGATTGAATATTTTAAACATACACAAAAATAGATTAGTATAATGAACCTCCATGTACCCATCAGCTAGTTTCCATAATGAGCAACACATTGCCATCTTGTTTATTTTCCCATTTCATAATTTTACTTTAATACTGCAAAGCAGCTTCCCAACATCACGACATTTATATATAAATACTTCAGTGTACATCCCTAACAGAAACTCTTAAACAAAATCACTGTGTCATCATTCCATCTGACAAAAGTAGTGAATAATTCTTTAAATATCACCTAATACTTCGTCCATATTAAAACTTATTCAAATATCTCAAAAAAAATCTAAGGATCAGTTTGTGTGCAATAGAATCTAAAATGCACCTACACGTTGCTTCTGTCTATTATGACTCTTTGCATTCTTATTGTATAATTGTTTTTCTGTTTTTTATCTTAATTTCTTAGAAGTTAGTGAAAAAACAGATTTTTATATATAGAAAACAATCCTGGAATTAGCAGATTGCTGCCTTATGGTATCATCTAAATTGTTTCTTCATTCCCTGAATTTTCTGTAGTTAGATCTAGAGGCTTGATTGGATTCAGGATAATTCTTTCAGCAAGAATATTTCATAGGTGGTGCTTTCAGCTTACTACTTATTTGAATCCCTTTGTAAGGAACATGTCTTATTGCTGCACAGGGTTCAGATGATAGCCACCCAATCCTTCCTTTATATAATTCACCATCACTCTTTCATTTGATGTTTTTATCACCTATTGCAATCGTTCTCTTTTAAAATAAACATTTAATTTTTAAAATGTTGTTATGTAATTTCTTATACATTTCTACATATTTCTAAATTTTTATTGTGACTTTCTCTGTTATGTATGTTGTTTAGGTAACATACTTCCTATAAAGTTTCCTAATGTGCAGTGGTGAGGTTTTTGCTCGTTTTTAGGTTTCTTTTTGTTATTGATCTTAATTGCACTGTGGTCAGAGAACAAGATGTAAGATGTGTATTTATGGGCTCTTTAGTGTCTATTCAGGTTGTTTTATGTCATAGTATATGGTCATATTTTTTCTCTATATGTTCCTTTCCTTATAAGAATAAATAATAAACTTTTTCTCTATATATTCCTTTCCTAATATGTTTCATGTATGCCTTTGCTTTAAAACATTATTAGATGCCACTTTCTATGTTCATTTGAAGATTATACCGAAGTTTCTAGCTGTTCTGCTTAAATACCTGATATCCTTTAGTCTGTAGTAGCTGGCAGTTATTGAGAGTACATCAAAGTCTCCATTATGATGCTGGATTTGTCAATCTCCTTATAATTGTATCCCTCTTTTATATTAGGAGGCTACGTTGTTAGGTGCGTAGGTTGGAATTTATTATATCTTTCTCTGGATTGTTCTTTTTTCTTTATGTAATTAATGACCTTTTAATTCCCTAGTAATATTTTATTGACAGCCTTTTGTCTGATATTAACATAGTAGTACAAGTTTTTTTAAGTTAGTACCTACTAATGTATCTTGCTGCCTTTCAATGTTGTCATATTTAGATATGACTCTTAGCTAAAGGTAAGAGACATTCAGTGATCACTGGTTTTATTTTTTTTAGTTTGAGAATCTCCGTGTTTCATTATTTCATTTTAAAACATGGAAAATCTTTAGAACTTTTTTCTTAAAAAGAATAGACCCTTGTTCAAACAAAATACTTTTAATTAAAAATTGAGTTTATTTTTATGTAAAAATTGTTGCCATTATAAAGCATTCTTTCATATTAAATTATAAATTATCCATGATATGATTTTTTCCTTTAAACAAGAAATGTATACATTATCATTCATTGCTTTTCCTTGACATTTATGTATTTTAAACAATAACCATTGGGGTTTTCACCTTCTTTGTACTTTTTATCTTAAAGTTAGCATTATTTAAATTAATTTAGGTATTTTCCATCAAATTATTGGCCCTAAAACCTTTAGTGCTATTTTTATATTCAGTATATATTTACATTTTAATTATATTTGAAGGTATTTAATTTTTGTATTCATTTGAGGAATGAAATATAACAATATATTTTTCATTATTTTATCATATTTATGAATGACTGGGTTGCACTGGTGCAAATTATTATCATTCTGATACATTATATAAGGCTGTATCTTCCAAAGTAAGCTTTAAAATGTGCTCAGAATTGTTCATTGCAGAAAGGAACCTTGGGAGAGTGCTGGGAAACAATAAAAGGTCAAGTTTAATGCCTTCAAGAACTTGTGGTGATGCTGTTGCTAGCAAGAACATACTGCTTTATTAGTTGCATAGCTTTATTAGTAGGTGCAGTTTACTACCACTCAGTATAGTTTCCAGCCTTTCAAGTGAAGGAGAGCTGGCTTAATTAATTATGGCATTTCTAATCTCACTTAATTTGTTATTTTAGTGAAGCCTTCAACAAGCCCTACTGGTTTTTCCCCCAGGTGACAGTAAATATTACAGAAATAATACACTTTACAAAATGGGTATTGAAGTGCACCTCTTTGGAAAGCCATATAGTGCAGACATATTTATATGACAGGAGCATTCTAAATGGGATCTCATGTGGCCTCTTTATTTTCCATGAAGATGCACATAGAATATGAAAGGGAGTAAACATGTGGCTTATGTGGGAGCAATTACAAAGGTCTCTTTGTATTTCCTAAGTCCAAAGGCATCCATTCACACCTAGTTCTGCATGGTTTCAGTTGCTTCTCTGTCAATTTTTTTCCCAGTGCATATGATTTGAAAACTGTAGTTACTGTGACAGTATTTTGGTTATTAGATATTTTTGTTATGGTTTTAAAGTAATTAATCCCTTGCTACTTTATACGTTTCATGACAGTGGTGGAGGAAATGGGGGGAAACCTTTGGAGGCACTCCTGAAAGAATGGAGAGAGAAATTAATCTCCAGTCAACATAGGGTCTAATGCAGTTATAAGAGAAGCAAAGATTTAGGGCCAGCCCCCTGCTCCACCACCTCTGTCAATTCACCACTGGATGATGAAGCCCACAGGGGTGGGTGTGACTCATCTGCATATCCAGCCCCTAATAAATCAAATTGTGCAATTCAGGGAATATGGCAATTGAAAACCAGATGCTTAGACCACTAAGCCATCCCTTCTGGCACATCGTAAAGCATGGTGTTGTAAATACAGCAGATAATTGAAATTTAGATTTCAGATATAGGCACTGTTAGCAGCCCTCCTCTAGCTTTCATTGCTGAGAGTCTTCCAAGTGTGTTTAACAGTTCATATTAAGGCAATTGCTGTCAAAATTAATTAAGCATTTTTATTTTTTCATATTTTTTAATCTCTTCTTTGATGAGGAGAGTATTCATAATACAAACAAAAGACAGGCGTCTGAACTTAAAAGTACATCCAAACTGAATATGGAAAATATTCTATAGTTTGGGAAATAAAGTTGTGAACTCCCCATTTGGTTTCTTTCAAGTTTTTGCTTTAAACAAAACACAGGTTTTTTAAGAAAAAACCTTGCTACTCCATTGATTAAAACTGTCATCCTTCTTTGTCCATCATATAATGTACTTTCCATAAATTAGCTGCTTCACTTCTTTTTATACCAATCAAATTACAGTGGTCCTTAGGCTTAAGTGGGTCACAGGACTTGGCTTCTTATAACCCTCAAAGCCCCTTAGCTTTTTATAAAAGCCATCAAGCATGCCATTTGATCTGTACATTTTCTCTTTTTTTTTCTTGCTGTCTTCAATATTATGGACAAAATTTGGAATATTTTAGTAGGTTGTCTACATTTTATAAAACCTGTTTTTGTAATGAGACTGTTACAAATGAGAGTAATGAATGCAATAAAGTTAAGAATTTGTTGAAATGATATTACCTTATTCAAAAGTAGATAGAGTAAAAGTAAAAAGTCTATGAAGAGTGGTGGTTTGAATTGGGCAATCAACCTGGGATGAATGTCACCATTTCATCCGTGTTAGTATTAGGCATTTCAAATGGCAAAATTATATCACCAATAATATTCTTTCAAAAAGGAAAAACAGCTCTACCAGGCTTGAAGTGACCCTGACCATCATAGCTATTCAGACAGAATGGGTGTTTTATCATTCCATGTGAATATCGTGTGTTGATCGGAAGTCATACCAAAAAAAATACTTAAAGTGCATCTTCTAATGTGACAGTGTAATCATAAGGACATCAGAGTTAAGCCAATTATTCTAGTTCACAGCAGTTTTAAATTGAAAGCTATTTTTGTGCAATGGCATCTAGATGAATGTGATTCTCAGAGACAGGTAAATAGTGTCAGGCTCTAAAGATTTTGCAACTGTGATCCAAATGATGACTGAGTTCCCGCAGTGAGGCCATAACTCATGGGCACTCACCAGTCTTTCCAGTACTGAGAAGTCATCATTAGCACCCTAATGGAAACTGAGGATCATGATAGAAACGTACTCAGTGATGCATTTGACAGCTGTACAGAGTAACTTCCTTTAGAGGGAAGGATTAAAATTTGACAGAGTTTGAGCATAAATAAGGAAATAAATTAAGATAAGACTAGATCTAGATGCATGAGCACATTGAGGATTGAATTATTCAATCCAAGTGGACAGAAAGAAAATAAATAGATTGTTATATTTCTTTTTTAAAATAATAGGGTAAAATGTGATAAGCTGGGCTTGGGGGGATGACTGAGTTGCTTTGAAAAATAATGGGAAAGAAAACCAAGCAGTTTTGCTCTGTTTTAAACCATTTGGACCATAGCCACAGAATTCAGAGGAAGAGAAAACTATGTTAAGTAAAAATCAACCCTCAACTTTCACTATGTTCGGGCAAAACTCTGGGAACAGTGAGACAAATTCATGTCACATTAATGAAGAGAGTTACTGACTTACACTGTCCCCTTTCTATTCCTTTGTATGTCTTTCTGCCTCCTGGTCTCAACCTCTTTGTGTCAATAATAGAGATTTATGGGAATGACTGCCAATCATAATGCAAAGTATATAGAATGGTGCAACACTTATGACTGTCTTTTTTTTTTTTGAGGTGGAATCTTGCTTTGTCGTCAGGCTGGAGTGTAGTGGCCTGATCTCAGCTCACTGCAACCTCTGCCTCCTGGGTTCAAGTGATTCTCCTGCCTCAGCCTCCCGAGTAGCTGGGATGGGACTACAGGTGCCCGCCACCACACCCAGCTAATTTGTTTTTGTATTTTTAGTAGAGACGGGGTTTCACCCTGTTGGCCAGGATGGTGTCAGTCTCTTGGCCTCGTGATCCACCTGCCTTGGCCTCCCAACGTGCTGGGATTACAAGCATGAACCACCATGCCCGGCCTGCAGTGAGGCCATAACTCATGGGCACTCTCTTTTTTTTTTCTTTCTTTTTTTTTTTTCTTTTTTTCTTTTTTTGTTTGTTTGTTTGGAGATGAAGTCTCGCTCTTGTCCCCTAGGCTGGAGTGCGATGGCATGATCTTGGCTCACTGCGACCTCCGCCTCCAGAGTTCAAGCGATTCTCCTGCCTCAGCCTCCTGAGTAGCTGGGATTACAGGCACCTGCCATCATGCCAGGCTAATTTTTGTATTTTTAGTACAGACAGGGTTTCACCATGTTGGCCAGGCTGGTCTTGAACTCCTGACCTCAGGTGATCCACCCACCTTGGCCTCCCCGACTCTCTTTTTCTGCAAGCGCTTAATCCTTGGGCTTACTCATAAAATATGTGCCACCTTGATAGGGACATACCTGACCATCTGACTGAGGAGGGCAAAGTAGGAGGTCAGCAAACAAATTTCATGCCCTGGCTCCTTTCACTGTCCATGGCACTTCAGCCTAGTGCTGTACACCAACTACCAAACAACCAGTCATTTCTCTGTTTTTCCTTTCTGGTGAGATGGCAAATCTGAGTCCAAAATCTCATTGATTCTCCATTTCCTGAAGTCAAGGGTAGGACTGAGTCAATTATTTTGTTCAACTTTTTTGTATCCAGTGGATGTCCTAACCATTACTGTTTCTGTATGCATGTACTTCAGTCTTTAAGAAAGAATGAAAACCAGGTTTTTTTCTTTATTGTCATATCTGTAATTTGCTCCTTTCTCAGAGGAAGGTCATCCACAGAAAATTAACCAATATGTTTGATTCTATAGAACTATCATTTTTGCGTCCAGTTGCCATTCCTTCTGAAGAGCTGTTAAATGCAGTGATTTTAATCTGCTTTGATTGCCTCACAAGTGAAGAGGTGATTTGCTGTATTTTGTAGAGGTGCATCAACGGAGTACCCTCAGCTACAGAATTATTTCCCTTGTAACAAGAAGAGAAGAGCAAGGTTTACATCACCACTGTGCTTAAAAACTCTTATCTGTCAGGAAGCATGTGCTTTTCTGTGCAACCCTGGGAGTTCATTAAAAGTGTGAGGTTGCCTCACTAATTAGATATGGCGGAGTGATTGGGCATAGTGCTGTGGGAGAAACCTTAATGTAACTGGAGTGAAATGAAAATCTCTGTTTTGTTCATACCAAGGGAAGGTTTGATTAAAAAGATTTCCTCTTTTTCATTTGGGACACTGTTTTGTTGTGTCATGTGGCATTGAGTAAGTGATCTGTTACAGGTTTGAAACATAACTGCTTCATGTATGTTTTTAACCATTCCTTGTTATTATTCTCATAACATATTAAAAGTACAGTTCAGGAAAGATCCAAATATTTACAACAGTTTCTCTGGGGTTTGTTATTTCTGCATGCACTTGTGAAAAGGAGTGCTGGCCCACATTCCTCTGCTAGGGAGTATGGTGCTGCAGTCAGCTTCACAATCAGATGGCAGGTTGGGTAAGTTGGTTTACTCACTCAGTCAGTTAATATGAGTATCCACTATAAACTAAGCCAATAAAACTCAGGCAGACAACCGGAGGTGTTTTTACATGGCTTTCTTTCTTCCAACTTTGTAAGCTAGAAGCCAGGTCAGTCTTCATGAGGATTTACTGAGTGTAGACACTGTGCTCTTGGAGCCTCTTGGGAGTGGAAGTGGAGAGAGACGGGCAGTGATGCACATGCTATGGGAAAAGATTGGCCCATTAGTGTGGGGAAGTTCTTTATGAAGCTGGTTTGTAGCTCTTAGGCAAAAGCAATCAGAATGTGTAAACAGTCGGCCAATTTCATCCTCTACCAGTTTTCATTGCATAGGATTTTGGCCCCAAACAATTGCTCAACTAACTACCCATTTGGTGAGTCTGAATGGGATTCAAGGATTAATCCAGAGATGATATTTGGATTAAATCATCACTGTCTAATAGAAGCAGTTATAAATATGTAAATTAAGCAATCTGATTATAGTACACCTTGGCTGCTTCTAGTTATTCTAGTAATTGTCTATGCAGGGTTAGCGGAAGAGATTTAAGCATTAGAGGCTGAAGTTTTTCAACCCCAAAGTAGCCAACAAATGGAATAGAAGTTAAGAACATAAGACCTTTAGTACTTATGGATTCAACATTTGAAATCATATACACATACTACATGTAAGCCAAAGGCCCAGAGCTTGTAATAATTCATAATTTTGCCGTGGCACAAACTGCATCATTTACACTGGGAGGTTTGTATGTGGAGTGATGTATTTTCAAAGAGGCTCCAGAAAAGATCGCAGCATTGGCGACCTCTCACTTTTCTGCACCTTCTCGGGGAAATAGATGAGGAGGGTGGCCATTAGAATATCCTCCCCACATTCACTCAGGCTTGTTGTTGTTGTTTCTAGCAACCACCACCTCTCCTATTTAGATATGGTCCCACAGAGCTATCACTATTTAAGGATGTGTCTGCGAAAACATTTATCATCATCTCAGTGCTACAAGTCTCTTACAATTCTGTCAAAGATATGGGCTTGGATTAGCAGCTACATATCAGTTCTTATCTTACACTTGGAATGGGGGTGAGGTTAGAGAAAGAATAGCAGTGTGTTTGGGATCTTGCTGGTGCTCAGTTGAGTTGAATTATAGAACATGCAAAGGGGAACAGTAGACGGGCCATTCATTAGTATCTTCTCTCCAGCTTCTGTGCTCCTTACTCCCCAGAATGGACTCTTCAGAGCAAAAAGTGTATACATTTTTTCATCTCTGTATCTCCAGTGCTTAGCACTGGAGCAAAGGGGACCCTCAATAAGGACTTGTGAACTGAATGATTCCTGTTTTGCTATGGGTTTGCTAGCCCTGTTATTTCTCATTTGATGATATAGTTTTGTTGAATAATGAGCGTTACCCAAAAACCTTTCCCTTGAATTCCCGTGTTCAATTTTGCTTTTGATTACAGAGTTCCTAAAGCAGAAGGCTACTAGAGGGAGAAGGTACTGAGTGAGGTCAAGGTGTAAGATGCCTGTGGACATGGATGTCACCCAGGGTGATACTAAAAGATAAGGCATGAGAGAGGGAGAAAATATTAATTAAAATGATGGAGCAAGAGGAAGTGCTGAAGGACCAACTTGGAGACTCTCAGGTGTGGACAATGAAAAGGGAATAGTAAAGCAGCATGGGGCAGCTTCCAGAGGAGGAAACAGGAAATTCTTATCTAGAAACAGCTCCAGGATGAGAGTGGGCAGCATGAAGAAAATGATCATGTCTCACTTCATAGGGTTGCCGAGGAAGTGGTTTCTTTGGGGAAAGTTTATTGTCATTTACATCAAGGTAGCAGAGACAATACTTAAGGAAGTTCTTGAGCTTATGAAAGAGTTTCAGGGCATCCTAGGAACAGAGGAGGAGAAGGGTTTGGAGGTACTTGGGAGGTGATGCACCAATGAAGGCTAAGGAAATGCCGAAAGAAGAAAGAGCAATGGAAGAGGACAGTTGCCCCAAGAGTTGTTTCTACCTTGACCCACGATTAAGTCTAAAGAAAAGAGATAGCTGGAAGAGGAGAGGAATATCGAGCAAGAGGTTCAAAACAGATTTTCTGAGATGGTGGGCCTTGCTTGCAGTCTTGCCTCAAGTGTAAGGTCCCCATACTGATCAACAATCTCTAGTCTGTAGGTTCAGGATCTGGAGGTTTCAGCATGGAAGTTTCCTTTCTCAGCTGGTGAGAATGTGATTAACTCAAGCTTCCAGCGATTGTGGAACTTAGTTGATTTTAAATATTGGTTTAAATGTATTTTATAAATAATGAAAGTCATTTTAAATTACATTATAATAAATAAAATATAGGTGCATATGTAAAGAAACATAACCAGCCAGGTACAAATCAGTGCATTCTCTTTTACTTCAATTATTTCAATCCATAAATAAAGATTAGCTTTCAATTGCACTTTAAATTCTCTTGCCAGAGATGCCTCTGGCAATGGTTCCAGCTGGCTGGCAACTTCGAATGCAGAGACAGTATCATATTGTCATATTCATCTTTGAATCCCCCCAGAGTCCAGCACAATACTCTGCACATGGAGTCTAGCATAATACTCCAGACGTCATAAATATATATTCTATTGAAAGTTAACTAAGACCCTTTAAGGAAAAGGAACAGATTTGTTTACCCAGTAAACCCCTTGCAAGTAGAGTATCTGTTGTATTTCAGTCCTGTGCTAAGTGACAGGGATACCAAGATGGATGAGACTCATTCCCCACCTCAAAGCTCTCAGAACCAAGCAAGGCAGACAGACCTGTAAAGAAATCTTCACCTACCCCGAGATCAATGAATGCCATGACAGAGCTTGCACATGGCATGAAAGTGGCACTGAAGAGGGAGATTGAGTCCATGCAGAGTGTTCAGGGAAAAAGTGGCTCATACTGAGTTGGGTGTGAAGGTATAGATGGCTGGATATTTGCCAGGCAAGCAATGGTATTCTAGAAAACTGGTGTATCTAGGTATGTGTTGAGCATCTCCCCTTTGCCAGGCACTGTTCTAAGCTTTGGGAATATATTTGTGAACACAACAGATAAAAACCACTGCCTGCCTACTTGGAGCTTACATTTTAGCTATTGATAACCAATAGATTATTTTAATGGGACAGTGCATCCCTCTACCTCTCAAGCACTGTAAAGTTTTAAGTTTAAAACATTTGTATTTAAATAGAAATGCATGGTGGTTTCCTTGTGTGATCAGAATATATTCTGGTCTGGCTATAGCTACTTTTGCAGAGTCTCTCCTAACTCTTTGTTGTGTTTCTACCCTTGCTCAAAAAACAAACAAACCTTTTGCTGACTGCTGCCCATGACTACAGCTGCTCTCAGCAGTTCAGACCTCTGCACCTCATTTCAAGCTGTGTTTCCACATGCTATAAGAACCCACGATGGTGTAGCCGGCTCTGGATCACCCTACTTCTCTCCATACAGTTGTCTTTGACTCTTCCGCTGTTCCTCCTTCTTCACATAAGTCATGGTAAGGATTGCTTCAAGTGCCTCTTAGGTTGTCTGAAGAAAACCCTTCCCCAAATTGTTTATTTTCAGTAGGTCTTATAAGCTGTGAAATTGTTTTTTGAAACTAGAGGCTTCCAATAAAGATGTCACAAAGTGAAATGCAAGAATGACAAAGTGAATGGCGAAATGATTGTGTAGGAAGATATATGAAGGTCATAGGAGAGCAACAGATGCACATGGCAAAGTCAGGAAGGTTTGAGTCTGGGTGAGAAGAGGGTGAAATGCTTATAGACGATAGGCAATAAAAAAGACCTTTTCAAGAAGTCCTTGAACTTGCCTTATTCATGAACTAAGATGGCTTGTCAATGCGGTTCTCTATCTAATAGTTATAAAAAAATTCTTTAACACAGTTTTGGCTTCCTAAATTTTGAGATTTTTTTTTTCTAAATGTACTACCAAACTAAGCACACATACGAATAAGTGTGCTTTTCTTTTCTTTCTTACCCTGTTCATGACACAGCTATGGAATTGGTCTGTGGATTAAAAATTTTCTGCAGCACATTTTCATCCTGAAGATTTTCGTCATGAAGACCAGCAGGGAAGTATGCTTGTGTTGGCATGCGTGAAATGCCTGTGCAAAAATAAACAATTGCTTTAATAGTGTGACCTTTTATCTCTACTCTCTCTGATCCAAACCTGGCTTTTGTATAGCTTTGCATCAGTGTATATGGGATATTTACTAGAGCCAAATTTGATTGAGATGTATTTCAGCCAGCAAAATGAAAGTGGTTAAGGTAGAAATGCTTGGTAATTGCTGAATTATCCCAACTTCCTTAAGTTTTTTCTATTTACCAGCTTTAGGTGATGATTTGGAGTTACAAATGAAGCCCTAGTACCATATAAATGTCCATTTTGACAGACCTGGATTCTAAATATTTGAGAAGATGGTATAGTTTAAATAGATTAAATGAAAGAAGGATGTTTATAATACCTTTGATCATACATTTTATGATTTAGCATGATCTGAAGCAGACCTTGTGGAAATTGCTGTTTTTCAATATCTTCACCCTTTCAATAATAAACAACATTATCTTTGTGTATCGAAGCACTGGGCTTAAGCAGTTTTAATATATTTAATGATATAGGAAAACTAGGGGAAAATTAGCTATAACTGAATGTGGGAAAGAATCCAATTATAAATAGAAATTATGATTATAAACATGTTTATATCAGTCTTGTATTTGAAAAAATTGTTTTCCACTCTTTTCAGCACTTTTGAAATGTGTTATTTGAATATGAGAAAGAAACAGTGAACAATAAAGGAGGGGTTGCAGAATTACTTTGTTGAACTTCTAAACTTCTATGGCTCTGAAGATTTTAAAGCAGCCTTTACTTGAACATATTTGTGTAGGGAGAAGTGCACCCACTGGTGTTAGCCTTATGTTGAAAGATTAGCAGAGCAGATGAAATGTTGATCTTGCCATCAGTAGTTATTTTCATTTCTGATACCTCGATGAGATGGATGAATGTGTTTGGTCCACTCAAATCTCACAAATGAAACAGAATTCCCTCTCTACCCACCATCACCTCTGCCTTTTTTAAAAGCTCACAGCTGTCTTTTGACACCTGGTATCAGCTTAAGTCAACTTTTACACATTTCTACCAAAAATAAGCGATAAAACCAAACACAAACAAAAAAACTCCAGCAGGTAAAGGGTATAATTTTAAAGAACTTTATTATAAAAATTTCACTGGTCTTTTAAAATCTCAATCAGAATACTGAGAAATCTTAACAATGAACTCTAACTGTGCTGATTATTAGCAATGAGAAGAAAAGAAAATATCCAAGAAAAGATCATAGGAAAATAAAAAAGAAATAGGGGTATAGAGAGAAGGTTTTGGTTTTATTTCAGGTATGCTTCATGCCATAGATTTATTCCTCAAAAGTTGTATAGAAATTAGTATGTTAAGAAAGTATAAAAGTGTTATCTATTCTGAGAGTGCTTCTCAAGGGAAGCTCTCCAAGAAAACATTTGGTCAAATGAATACCTCTTAATTGATCTGTTGGGGAATTTTTATATGTATGTTTATTCAGTTGGAGTTTGCCTGCCTTAGTATTTGGTGCATTATGACATTTTATGCTTGGAATGGACCTTAAAAATCTTCTTATCCCCAATATAAAGAAAATAGAAGTGAGGGCCAGGAGGTGATGTGTCTGGTCACCAGACAAAGCAATGATGAACTTATATTAGAATCTGTGTCTCTTTTGTGTTAGACCAGAATTCAGTTACTGTATCTTGATCTTCACTCATTTTAAATTTATTTTTATTAAACCTATGAAAATCATTCAGCATCTCTTGCAGACACACCAGATGAAGAGAAGGTGTGGCCAACCCTGATTATATTGATTATCAATGGGATTTAGCCTCTGTAGCACATAATCCACAACTGCATAATCTCTGTGAAAACAGTCCATTGAAAGTTGTAGACTTTTAGTGCATTTTACAAAGTTCAGAACTGTTTACACTGAGTGCAGTTTTATCCCATATGCATTCAGGTAATTTATCCACATGGCTTAGTGTGTGTTTGTGAATGTGCATGAGCACCCTGTGTGCATGCTCTCCATAAGCCAAGGATTTGAGCCAGTCATTTAATGTTAATGATTTTACCTGCTCCCAGGATTAGCAAGGGACTAGTTAGTAGAATATTTATGATCTAATCGTATTCCAAAAAAGGTTTTTTTTATTTTAAAGATGCAATTATTAGAGCATAATCTCTAGAATAATGAAAAACTTGATAGTCTTTCGTATAAATAATTTCTCTGTTTGTTTCATAATATGGTATCTTTTCCTTACCCTGTTTGCCTGAAATCAACAACCAAGAGACATTACAAGGTAAATACAGTTAATGTGCTTGCTTTCAAAACTAAGTCTTAGGAAACGGGGGTCCCAAGAAATTTTGGTTCTTTCTTTGACCTTCAGTTTCTTCTTCGACAAGATAGTCATCTTTTTGTCTTGCATATGTTCAGGTATGAAATTGGAATAGGAGTGCCAAGAAATCCACTAGATTGTTGTGGATATACATCTAGTTATATGTGAAATAGTTTGAGATCTTTGAAAGAAAGGTAAAGTATAATGAAGACATTATTATAGGTTTTTGTTGCTGTCATTAAAAAAGAATCCATAACATAAGTAATAAGGTCAACATTCCTTAAGTCAGCAAGTATTTATTGTGGTGCACAGAAAGAACACTGAACTGAGTATCAAGAATCCTAGATTCTGGCTTTGTCACTAACACAACATGTAAAAGGAGACCAGTCATTTCAGCTTTCTGCGTCTGAGTTTCCTTAGCTATAAAATGGGTGAACTGGCTTCACTCATCAACACCATCCTTCCCGGCTTAGTTAATAATTTTTAGGATTTTTCCTGAGTCTCAGATCTGTACTAGCTACTTTAAGGCAGTGGTTTTTGAAGTGTGGCTCCTGGACAAGCAGCATCAGAAACTTGTAGAAGCTCGGGACTCACCCTAGACCTACTGCAGTAGAACTTCAAGCATTGAGTGCGGGGCCCAGCAATCTAGGTTGTCACAACACTCCAGGTAATTCTTCTGATCCACGTTAAAGTTTGAGAACCACTGTTAGGCATAGAAATGAATAAAACACAGTTCTTCTTAAGCAGCTTTTAATTTAGCACTTTTATATCTCTAATTGTCATGCCAATTTCTGGCTATGTAGGTGTAAAATCTAGTGGCGTGTGTGTGTGTGTGTGTGTGTGTGTGTAGTAAATTATAGGCATATTAATTGCTAAGACTGAAACATTTAGGGATGGTATCTTTGAAGTCAACTGAGAGATTTCCAATGGCAAGGCATTTCCAAAGGCATAAAAAATATATATGAAGTTTGAAAATAACAGTGTTTAACAATCAAATTGCATGTTAATTTCATGTGTGCTTATCAAATACAGTTTGTTTTACTTTAGCACAGATATTTTTGTTCTGAAAAGTAAAAACAAATATTCTGGAATTATGCCCAGAATTTTAATTTTAAAATTTACATTATGATTATGTATGAGCACCAGGCACATAACCTGATGTTCAGATCCTCTCTGTATAATGTTTCTATTACTCTCATTCTAACATTCATGTGTATTTTCAAAAGAAACTTGCAGTTGACTTTTCAGAATGCAAATCTTGTTTTTAAATGCACCTGAGTTTTTAAAACATAATTCAGCTGCAGTTAAATTTTATGGGCAAGTGGTTTCCAATGTAGCTAAAATTCATTGAGGGGGAAAAATCATGGCCATATATGATCACCTGTAAATCAGAGGGAGATACTTATTGATAGACAGGACCGCTATTTCAGTTCTCATCTGAGAGATGAAAAACCGAGCAATAAAACTACTTTTAATTTCATTTTGTAGCGACACTAGACCAGGGAAATTCCATGAGAACTTGGGAATGCGATGAGCATTCTCTTCCAAAAAAAAGTATCAATAGTGTTAAGTTTCTTTGGACATGTATAACCTAGTGATGCTTCATAATGAATACACGTTCTTGTATGAAATCAGTGACTGGTACTAACTGTGAAATATGAAATGATAGCCTGGTACTGATACCTTAATCACCCCTGGAGAGACCGTTGCCCCTCTTGGTGCCTGGCCCCTTTCATCCAGCCTGTGAGCACTTGCAGTTGTTAGCGCTAGTGCTAACCAAATGTAAACACCTTTACTTTCCAGCTGTTGCTAATTGGTTTGGGACTAATTATAGAAGTGTTGATTTTAAAGCTAAAAATAGTGCGGTGATGTTTAAATCCAACTCATTTTGGCTGTCAGAAATGCTCCCTTGATCCTGAAAGTGTTGCTAAAAACGTTCGCTTTAAAAAAAATTGTAGTAATTAAACTTGTCTGTTGTGAGAGCTACATATGATCTGTCTGTTCCCTGCTCTGATGAAAGTGGTAAAGGGCAAACATCTTAAAGGTGTCTGACCAGTTGGCAGGACACAATCTCCTGCTGAACTTTATTTTAGACAGCAAAGCCTTGTCATTTGACCAAAAGAGGAGATAAAATTTTGAAATAGCTCTATACCTTGTATTTCATACAGCTCATTATATCCTTCTATGTTAACATTAAAAATAGAAGCTGTAAGAATTATATTAATAAAATTAATTATAGAGCGTCCAAAACCATTATGTTTTCTAGAGGCAAGTTTGAGGATTTGAAATCACATAATTAATATTGTTCAAACATAAAGCTGAAGAAATATGGTAGCTGTTTGGCATCAGTTGTTTATACCTCTGATTCTTCATAATCAGGGTTATTTTTCTACCTTTCCTTCCAAATTTAAAAGTCATCTTACAGATTTTTCTCAAAGTCATTTAAATAAGCAATGAGGAAAACTATATTTTCATTTTTAGACATGTGCAATTTCATGACTCTTCATTTTACCATGTAATTTAGTGAAGGAAAAGCTTAAGTATTCTTAACTTATCATTTGTCAGTTATTTTGTAATTTTTGGAAAAAATGATTTTATGTACCCTGTTAAGAGGTAAACTGCCTTGTCGATAAGTATCAAAGCACTGCACAGCTACAGTGTTGCTGAAGTCAATTTGAAATTGGCTTTATGTCCTTATAGGATGCCCTAAGCATCTGTCTGCCTGCCCCATCTTCAGAGAATATCAAAGAATTTTGTTAGTGCAATATATGGAAATGATCTTGGCAAGTGATAAACACTGCTCATTAGTTGAGATGATAAACTATAGTTACTACCCTTTTTTGATAGCTTCGGCAAGGGAAAGTGTTTTTGATATTATCTTAATAATAATAGGAGATATAAGTCTGTGAATGTGTATTCTTTTTAAAGTCTGTAGTCATTGACATGATTTCTCCAAATGTGTAGTCAGTTCAGAATTACCCTTGAGCAGATTATGACATTGTATTTGGCCCAATATTACTTTCAAATTGTAATTGATATTTCCATATACTCAGAGAATTAAGTAACTTGTTGATATGAATAGAATCTTTACTTGCTATCTAACTGGAACTAGATGAAAAATTCATTTTTTAATCTTGCGTAATGTTGATTTGAGCCAGAAAGTATGTTATTTTTCTACCTTGTTAGGGATCAACAACAAAGTTCCATTTAGAGTATGGTGCAGAGGCAACAATAATGATATAAAACTTTATAGCAAATATCAGTTTTTTTCTTTGACACTCTGAGGATACATCCCATACAGAATTATAAAACTAAAAAGAATATTTATTTTAATTAACTGTCACTGTTAACTGTTCATGGATTGAGAGACTTTATGATGGTTAGATTGTGATACTCTCCAAATTGATCTATGTATTCAATGCAATCCCTAGCAAAAACCCAACTGTTTTTTTTTTGCAGATATTAACAAACTGATTCCAAAATTAATATGGAAATGCAAGAGACCCAGCATAGCCAAAGCAATCTTGAAAAATAAGAACGAATTTGGAAGAATCACACATCCTGATTTCAAAATTTAGTACAAAGCTACAATAATTGACTGTGTCGTACTGACATAAGAATAGACAGGTATAGATCAATGAATAAAATACAATTGAGGATCCGGAAATATACCCTTACATTTTTGGAAAATTCATTTTCTTTAAGGGTGTCGAGACAATTCAATGAATAAAAAAACAATCTTTTCAATGAATGATACTAGCACAACTAGATATCCACATGCAAAGAATGAATTTGAACTCCTTCCTCACACAGTGTGCAGGAATGAACTCAAAATGATAATAGGCCTAAATGTAAGAGCTAACACCGTATAAGATTCTTATAATAAAACAAAGGTGTACATCTTTGTGACCTTATATTAGGCAATGTTTCTTAGATACAAAACCAAAAACACAAGCTACAAAAGAAAAAATAAATACATTGGACTTCGTTAACATAAAAAACTTTTGTGCTTTAAAGGACACATGAAGAAAGTGAAGACAACCCAAAGAACAGGAAAACATATTTGTAAATCATATATTGGATAAGAAATTTGTATATGGAATATTTAAAGAACTCTCTACAGGTCAATAATAAAAAGACAAATAGACATTTCTCCAAAGAAGATACACAAAGGGCCAATAATCACAGGGAAAGAAGCTCAACATCATTGGTCATTACAGAAATGTAAATCAAAACTACAATGACATATCACTTTATACCCATTAGGATGAATACAATAAATTAAAATTAAAAATGAAAATAAGCTGTGGCAAGTCTATGGAGATTTTATACCCATTAGGATGAATAAAATAAATTAAAATTAAAAATGAAAATAAGTTGTGGCAAGTCTATGGAGATATTAAAACCCTCATGTATTGCTGGTAAGAATGGCAAATTATTCAGACATGTGGGAAATAGTGCAGCAGTTCCTCAAAATGTTAAACATATAGTTACCATATGAGCAACAATTCCACTCCACAGCGTACGCCAGAGAACAGAAAGCATATGTTCACACAAGAACTTGTACCCAAATGTTCATGGCAACATTATTCATAATAGGCAAGAGTGGAAACAACCCAAATGCTCACCAGCTGATGAATGGATAAACTTAGTGTGGTATATCCATAAAGTGGAATATTGTTGGGCCATAAAATGGAGTAAAATACTGATATATGCTACAACATGGATGAGCTTTTGAAAACATTATTCTAAGTGAAAGAAGCCACAAGTCTTATGATTCTGTTTATATGAAATGTCTACAATAGGCAACTCCTTTGAGACAGAAATTAGATTAATGATTGACAGGGCCTGTTGGGGAAGGGGAGGATGAGGAATGACTGCTAATGGAGTTTGAGGTTTCTTTTTGGGGTGATAAAAATGTTCTGACATTAGTTGATGATGGTTACAAAACTCTGAATATACTGAAAACCACTTAATTGTACTCTTTAAAATGGTGACTCTTATGTAAATTACATATCGATAAAGCTGTTGTAAGAAATAAAAATGATCTTAAGGCAATCCTTTAGATGACTGTAGCTGCAGCCCCGCAGACATGGGGCTGCAAACTTACAAGCGATCCAACCCTAGAACCGCCTAGCTAAGCTACTTCTAAATCTCTGGCTCAGAGAAACTGTGAGAGAGAATAAATGTTTATTTTTTTAATTTATTAAGTTGTGGGATAATTTATTATACAACATTAGAAAATTAATACAATGAGCTCTTGGTGTTATGTGCTTGATATATAGAGAAGCAGACACAAATTCATTCCTGTGTAAGAGAAACAGATAAGAAAGTTAATGATTTTGGCAAAAATGAGGCCATCAAATATCCTGACATACATGATAATCACAGGTTCCAATATTATGTTAAATTATCCACCTAAGTATTTTTGTAACCCGCCCAACCCTGTCTCCACTTATCTGTAAGCATATATCAAGCCCTTCATAATAATATGAATGTTTGAGAGCTTTCAAAAACAATCGTCTTTTAAAATTTGGTACCTTAAACCATGAAGTGTTCTTTAGCCTTATGGAAATTCTTTCTTATCTACATGAAAAGGAGAAAATTAATTTTTTAAAAGTCTAGAGTAGACCAAGTGTTTCACAAAACTACCAACCCCTGCATGAAATGTTGCTACTCAATCTAAAAGTGAGAGACATTTTTTTTAACTCATTTCACTACAACAAAGTGCTTCTGTTGCAGTTATGTCTTACTTTCTTTAAAATAATAACTTGGCTGGGCGCGGTGGCTCAAGCCTGTAATCCCAGCACTTGGGAGGCCAAGACGACCAGATCATGAGGTCAGGAGATTGAGACCATCCTGGCTAACACGGTGAAGCCCCATCTCTACTAAAAATACAAAAGCAAAATTAGCCGGGTGTGGTGGTGGGCACCTGTAATCCCAGCCACTCGGGAGGCTGAGCCAGGAGAATGGCATGAATCAGGGAGGCGGAGGTTGCAGTGAGCCGAGATCATGCCACTGCACTCCAGCCTGGGCGACAGAGCTCAAAAAAAATAAAAATAAAAATATATATTTTTTTATTTTTTTATTTTTATATTTATATTTTATATTTATGTAAAATAAACATATTTTATATTTATGTAAAATAAACATATTTTATATTTATGTAAAGTAAACATTTTATATTTATGTAAACATTTTATATTTATGTAAAATAAACATATTTTATATTTATGTAAAAAACATTTTATATTTATGTAAAATAAACATATTTTATATTTATGTAAAATAAACATATTTTATATTTATGTAAAATAAACATATTTTTATTTATGTAAAATAAATATATTTTTTATTTATGTAAAATAAATATTTATATAAATTATATAAATAAAATATTTATAGATATATTTATCTGTCTCAAAAATAAAAATTAAAAAAAGATAACCTAATTTACTTATGTCCAGCCTCTTAAGCTCGTATGTTGTCTTTCTTACTCTGTTGGAATAATGCATTCAGATGCATAAATGCTGTTTATAAGTGTGGGTTTTTGATAATGGGTCTTTCTATATCTGGTTTGTTGCTTTGATGAAACCGGAGTCCACGTGTAACAATAGTTTATTGTGACTCCACTTATGAAGAGACAGGTATCCACAGGATTCCCTGTTAGGGAACAGCTCTGAGCCCTAATGTCTTCTGTAAGGAAGCAGCAGCATCAGGCGTGCTTTCTAGAATCCATCCTCTCCTCTGCTTCTCTGGGTAACATCCAATACAACTTTTCCACTGTCCTGGAGTACAGGGCCTCTCTGACCCTCTAACCTTTCTGTAGTGGGAGCCTGTTTACAATTTTAGAAATTAAATAGGCAATTTGAATCTCTCTCTGAAGATTATCCTCAGAGTCAAATTTCATGACAAAGTAAGAGTTCTGGATTTCTTCTTCCTGCAGTGTTTCTGCCTGACTTTGACAGAGGTGACTTTGCCAGGCAATGTTTTTTCATGGATTTTGCTTTTCTTTATATTTTAATGTTGTGAGGGGCAAGCAAGTACGTACCTTAAGGCTAATATATCACCATCTGTCACCAGAGTCCCCCCTTTGGTATTCTTTTCCTTTCTGGTTTAAAACACTCAATCCCAAAAGCCTATGGCTGAGTAGCAAGAAGCTAAATGTATTCCAAAGCTCTTAACATATTGCATTGTGTAGATGACCCATTTGAGCATTTCAGAAACCAAACAGGAGAGAAAAGAACATTGAAAGCACAGAAAAGATTAACACCTGCTTCCAGTTTTCAAAGAAATTAGAGCATACTGTATATATCCAGCGTAAAGCGGTTTACTCTCCCATATTGGGATATTTTATTCAGATTTTCAATTCAATATGCACAGCATCACATGCTTATGACTTTGTTTCACTATAGGATTCCACGCAGAACTTGGAAGACAGAGAAGTTTTGAATGGTGTACAGACAGAACTACTAACTTCGCCAAGAACTAAGGACACATTGAGGTATTCTCTTTATACAGATAAGAATATCTGATTTATTTCAATTTGATGTGTTTTTTAATAGTTTATAATTGTTCTTACTTTACAAGAAAGATCAGGATAAGTAGAATCATGGAGTGCAACATGTCCCAAGTCTAACAGTTACTTAATTCTTCTTTTCTAGTGTTTTCTTCATATGAGAACTTACTGACAAACATATATACAAATGATCCTTAATCCATCCAATACTCTTCTGTACCCAGGATTTCTGAAATACTTTTTTCTCTCCTCAAACAGCAATTTCAAATGAACATTTCAGAGGTCATTGTGGTGGTTTTACTTTGACTTTAGCTCTTTGAAAGCACCAAATCCTAGCCACTAGACCACCGGGGAACCCTAAATTTAGCTCTTTGAGTGCTACTTTGTATTGTGCTTTAACACCCTTGTAATAGTTTACTTGATGAAATAAAATGAACCCTGTCTATCAACCAGGGTTTTTCATGTTCTTAATGAAGGCAACTCATTTGCTGTCAGTGGCTGCCATGTTTCCCAGTACTTTCTTTGCTTTGCATTGATTCCCAGTTCAGCTCTAGGTAGTGCCTGGGTTCATATCGCAGCTATGCCTCTTTACTAGTCCTGTGAGCTTAGACAAGTTACTCATTTCTCTTTCTCTTAGTTTCTAGTCTGTAGAATGGAAATAGTATTAAAATCTTATTCAGAGGGTTAGTATGGGTATTAAATGAGTTAATACATGTAGACCATTTTGCACAGTGTTGTGGTTAGGATAAATCCTGTGAGTGTTTGCTGCTGTTTCTACTACTATCATTAATATCACATCATCTCTATTATTGTTCTAATCATCATTTTGTTTAACGCACTTCAAATTTGGCATAAGGAAAATAATTTCATATTTAATAGATGGTTACTTCAGCATTAGGTAAAGCTACTGAAGTTTATAATTATTCATGCAGTTGACGTATTCCTTTCATTTAGTCCAAACAATTAACATGAAATTAGCTTTTTAAAAACATAGGTCATCATCCTTTGTCATGTGCTTTACTGTATGGATTCTCCTCAAACTTATTTATAGCCACGTGAGCATAGTTACTCTTTATTTAGATCGTTTCTTTGACTGATGAGCTATACAGTATTAAAAATTTGATGGAAACTAGGCTAGGTGGTGCCTGCCTATCATCCCAGCTACTTGAGAGGCTGATACAGAGGATCACTTGAGTGCAGGAGTTCGAGTCCATCTTGCAACATAGGGAGACCCTCTCTCTCTCTGAAGAAAAAAAAAAGGCGGGGGGATATGGGGTAGGGAGTAATAGAAAATCTTCAAGCACCATCTTTTCAGAAACTTAATAAGATTATCTAATTATGTCTACCTCCAGAAACTAATAAGATTGTTTCTGGAGGTAGACATAATGATTGTAATGCTCTTATTCTATTTGGCTTTAATTTCACTTATTTCAGTGTTAGCTTTTTGAAAAGTTTGTTAATATCTTGTCCAAATGCTATGTGAATAGCATCATAGAGTCAACATTAGTTTGGTTTATGGCTGTATGAACAAATTAGCCAAGCTTTCTTCAGCTACAGGGAATTGAGAGAAATGGAGTATAGGAACTTAAAAATATATATATTCTTTTATTTATTTATTTATTTTATTTTTATTTTGAGATGGAGTTTTGCTCTTGTTACCCAGGCTGGAGTGCAATGGCGTGATCTCGGCTCACCGCAACCTCCGCCCCCCAGGTTCAAGTGATTCTCCTGCCTCAGCCTCCCAAGTAGCTGGGATTACAGGCATGTGCCACCCCAAACCCAGCTAATTTTGTATTTATAGCAGAGACAGGGTTTCTCCATGTTGGTCAGGCTGGTCTCGAACTCCTAACCTCAGGTGATCCATCTGCCTCAGCCTCCCAAAGTGCTGGGATTACAGGCATGAGCTACCACGCCCGGCCAAAAACATATATATTCTTTAGTTAAGAAATGTATGTGTGTGTGTGTGTGTGTGTGTGTGTGTGTGTGTGTGTGTGTGTGTGTATATTTGATTATCAAAACGGGCTTTTCACATGAGTTTTCTTATCACCTTTAATAGGTTAAGGAACTACAATTCATAGCAATTAAGTGACAGCTAGAGACTTAATTGACACCCACCACTCTTGTCTACAAAGCCACTATTTCAAACATTCCTGTTGCGTGTACATTCCCTGATGCCTTGGTGTTTTATTTCATGCTACCTGACCAAGGCTAGGAAACTTCTCATATAAAAGTGCAGCTAAAATCAGTTTTATATCAAATTCAAAAAGTAGAGTGAGTGCAATTCCCAGCACTTTAAGACCCTGGAGTGGGAAAAGGATGATAACAATCTTAATGCCATTGAATGCATGGGGGAAAGCTTGGAGGTTACAGTTCTAAGACAGGGCATTGATTCTAGCCAGTATGAGATGAAAAACAGTTGAAGTGAAATTAGGAAGCCAATTCTGTCTGAATTACATGGTCCATATGCTCCTGGGGCAGGGAGAATCTCATATGCCACAGGGCTTGGCCCATGCATAGGACTTTGGGCACGCATCCACGTAGAAGCTAAGTAAATTATTTGTAGTCTATCTCAAAATGTCTTGTAACTGTTTAATTTCTATAATCATTGCTCAAGCCTTTGTTATCCCTCAGCTACACCATTATAATAACCTACTAACTTCTCTGTCAAATGTCAGTTTCCCCTTATTCTAATTGATCCCACATATTACTGTTGGATAAAATGTTTTAAACCACAGAATTTATCAAGCCATTCCTTAGTTCCAGACCTTTTGGATTTAGATAAGTCTTGGGTTTGAGTACTAACTCTGCTACTTACTACCTGTGCAATCTTGGACTAATTACATTACTTCTTTAATATGTATCTTCATAGGAAAATTGGTATCATGGTCACATAGATTATTGTGAAGATTAAATGAGATATAGTACAGACAACCGACTTAGCACAATGCTAAATGAAAGGCTGAAGAAACATTAATTGCTATTGCCATTATCATTGTCATTTTTACACAGATTGTAGTTTATTGTAACTATTTCTCATTCACCCAAGCAAGACTGTGAATCCTCCAAAGGGTTTCTGACACCTAATACAGGTCTTGGAATATAATAGGGACATATTTGCTAAGTGAATGACTGAATGGATAAAACACATTGCTCCATAAATCATAAGCAAAACTGTTAACTGCTCACCCATTATTAACGCAAACATCTTTATTTAAAATAACATTTAAAAGACATTCTCCAAATAGTTTTACAATATGCATCTCTTATGAAGCACCACTCAACTTATTTTGATCTTAAAAAGACAATGAAGCAAGAGGTTTGGTGGTTTTTTAAGAAAATTACACTTTGAATGTCTCTTTAAATAGCAAGCAATATGTACAAAAGACCTTCACCTCATCCCTAATTCCTATCTCATTTCTGACTCTGCCTTATCTCTCCACTCCTGCTTCCACAGATAAGCCTTCTTCCAGACTTGCCTTTTGTTTCATTCTTAAAACGCCAGCGCATTTTAGCCTATCCTCTCCTGTGTCAAGGATATCTATTCATTGATCAAACTGTTTGCAGAGGCCATCTCAAAATATGTGGGACATTTCCCCATGTTTTGATGCTTTATTCCTGTAATCATTGCTCAAGCCTCTGTTACTCTATTAGTTTCAGCTAGATTATTGCAATAATTTAGTAATTCCTGCCTCAAGTACCAGTCTCTCCCTTGTGGTTCCCTTTTCCAATTGGTGTCACATATCACTGCATAAATATTTCTAAACCATAGCGTTTATCACACTTCTCCCTAATTCTAGAACCTGTAGTGACTTCATTTTCTGCAAATTAAGTATAAATTTGCTAGCCAGAAATTTAACACACCACTCTGAGCTTTGATCTCAAGCTAATGGTTTAATCTGTCTCCTGTACACAGCACCTTTCTTTGTTTCCCTTTTCTCCCTTCTTCTTTCTCCTCGTTATTCTCTCTCCCACCTTCCTCCCTCCCTCCCTCTCTCTAATATTACAACCAATTGTTATGCTCACAGACTATCCTCGTTCAATATCTCCATACAGTTGACTTTCTCTCCTGTGCATGCCCACTCCATCCCCTCACCTATCTTTTCTGATGGAAGACCCGTTTGTCCTTCTTCAGGAATAGATTCCTAATCCCAGCTTCCCTTCCTAATCCTGTACCCTCCTCTGAAACACATCACAAGGTGCCTCCACTTTGAAACTGCACCTTGGTTAGGCAGTTAAGAACTCTGCTCTGGGGTGCAATAAATCACTATTTGAGTCTTGACTCTATAGAAATGGTATGATGTCGGACAAGTTATTAAACTCTCTAAGCATAAGTTTACTTCTAAAATGGATGTGATATAAATGTTTACTTTATAGATTTAGTATCAGTACATGATATAATGTCCAGAAGAAGGTTAGTACACTGCCTCCCAAGTAATACCTTGCATTCACCGAGAATCTACTACTGTAACCCATCGCTTTCTGTTCTTTTTTATTACCTGTCACAACCTTCCCCTTAGATTATAAACTCCTCAAGCATTGGTCTTTGTTTTTTCCTTGTGGAACTTCCCCAATGAAACAACTCAATTAATATTTGTTGAATTCAAGTGAAGTAAGTGGATCTCATCACCAACAACAAAGTCTTTGATAGATTTTTACTCAGTACATTTGCATCCTCAAGATATTTCACCATCAAGTAGAGTTCAAGGTTATCCACAGATTCTTCCTGGAGGTTTCGCTCTGTAGTCCGCCTCTCATACTATTGCATGCCACAGATCTATGAATCCACCCTTCCAGAAAATCAGCTAACACTCAGCCATGTGCTGCAGTCCTTTGTCTTCTCTCTGCATGTCAGCAGTCTGATTGCAAATAAAACGTGTTCCTCAATCCTGCAGTATTTAAGGCTTTTTTAAGAAAGTCTTACTGAGGAAATCAATAGAAAAAAATGGATTATTCTCTTTTAGCCTATAAGCTTGTTTCCTTAGACAGTTCTAACAATCATACTAATAGCAGGTAGTTATTGAATGCTTTGTAAATACCAGATGTGGTATGTGTAACATATATGTGTTATGATCTTTATTTTTCTTATTAAAGCCAACAACTCTAATAGGGAAATACCTAATCTTTTTTTTTTTTTTTTTTTTTGAGATGAAGTTTTGCTCTTTCACCCAGGCTGGAGTGAAGTGGTGTGATCTCCGCTCACTGCAACCTCTGCCTCCTGGGTTCAAGTGATTCTTATGCCTCAGCCTCCCGAGTAGCTGGGACTACAAGTGTGTGCCACCACACCCTGCTAATTTTTGTATTTTTAGTAGAGATGGTGTTTCTCCATGGTGGCCAGGCTGGTCTCGAACTTCTGACCTCAAGTGATCTGCCCGCCTTGGCCTCCCAAAGTACAGGGATTACAGACGTGAGCCAACGCGCCTGGCCAGGAATTACCTAATCTTAATGTTCTCCGTGTGCAAATGAGGAAACTGAGGCACCAGGTCTTAATTAAAATAATTTACTCAGACTCCTGACTCAAAAGTTACCACTGGGATACACTTTCTCTGTAATTACACATGTGAATCATGATTTTCTTCTGAAATAAATTACCCCCGGCTCCCCATCCTCAATTTCATCTCTTCCATACCTCAACAAGTGACCTGCCACTGAGTTCAGTAATCTTAGTGTTAAAAATGCTGTCCATTTGCCTTGTGTAAAGAAATGAGACTTACAAACATCTGCAGCTTCTATTGTATATTTTTCCCTCAAGCTTGAAGTCTTTCTTCTGGATGGAAACCAAATGAAGCCTTTCACTTCTAGCTCTAGCAGAGTTGCCATTCATGACAGTCTCATTTTTAGACCACTGATTCTGCAGCTTCGCCTATAGTTTTGTCTAAATCTCAGATTGGTAGCAGCTGGTTTCAGTTTTATCAATTAGATCTTAGAGCATTTTGCTATTTTAATACTAGTTGAACTAATGCTTTGTAACTATCTGCTTGTTTTAGTATGTCTTAGAAAGTTGTATAAAGATAGCTATTTTGATCTTAGTAAAATTTTCCCACTTTTCTTCTATGTATAACCAAAATATTTTTCTTTTATCTCACACAGTTTATTTTCTGTTTTTTGTTTTTTGTTTTTTTTGTAAGTGGCTGTCAACCGCTTTTTCTTTCCATTGCCAGAATATCCTGTCTACCTCATTTTCTGTATTTTCCATTTTAAACCAACCTTCTAGCTTATTTTCTGGCTACTATACTGTCCTCTAAAACATAAACATAAATGTGCACATGTCCTGTTCACTAGTCCCTGAATTCTACTCTAGAGTTTATCTAAACAAATAGCAATAATAGCCTATTTTCATGTCTTTGTAAAATCTCACTTTATGAGATATGTCGTCAAATAATTGTGTCCAGTCCTACTTGCTGTGTTTCTCTTCCATGAAGAGTGCATATATAGAGATCTCTACAGAGCACAACTCCATCACGTATTTCTAGTACTGAGGGTTGTTTTCTCTTTTTAAATAAATAAAAATATGTGAACTGGTCCATGGGGCATTATTTTTCAAATGTTCTCCTTTCTAACTTGAAACAAATAATAGATAACATTTTATAAAGAACATGATGAGACATGGTCTATGTAAAATTTTATTACTTATCTTTATTAAATAGATCTAACTTTCTATAAGTGCTTATATATTACAGTAAACAAAATTGAAAGTCTGCTAGGCTTTTTTTCTGGGCTAGTACTATTTTTGTGATAATAATTTAAAAGTTATCAAAAATGCTTCTAGCTACAAAATTGCAACTATTGTGTGTAATGGTAGAATAAAAATTTATTCTGAGATACTGAAAGGAGAATCTCATAAAATAGAACTCAACTTTTAAAATTCCATTCTCACAAATTTTTTAAGTATTCTTTTTTAAAAGATTGGCTACTTAAAAATGTTTGGCTTTCTTAAGTGAATGTAAAAACACATTATTAATGATTACTAAAGAGTAGGTATCAGTATGATACATATAATTTATTATGTCTTATAGAAGGGATTTTGAGTGGGAGTAAAGAAATATTTGTGAAATAGAAAAGAACATGAGAATTCATAAAAGGTATTCTAAAAATTCTTAAGCTGAAAAGTTAAAGTCTGTAACAGACTAAACACATTCCAAATGCCTCTAGATATTACATATGGATGCTATCTCTCAGCATGTGGATACTTGATACATTTAATAGGAAAGATTTGTGTTGTGCTTTCAGTGCAAAACTATAAAAATATGTTACAAAGGTAAGGGTAATAATTTTCAGTGACTAAGCAAAGCTTGAATCTCTGTTTATAAAAGTCTTTAAAAGCAGTATTTTAAAGCTAGAATGCAAATGCTTTGGGTTTAGTCTTCCACAAATGCCTAAAAATGCACTATAAATTCTGTTAGTATATAAAACGTATTGCTTTTTTGTCTCTTGAAAGCCATACAACTTTCTCTGTCAACCAAGCATTTTATATTCAGACCTTATAATGCATATCTATATATAACAGTCCATATACATATGAGTGTTCATATCCTCAAATATATAGAATCATTTAATACTATATTATCACTCTAAGATTTGTTTTGTTTTTAGCTTTTATTCCAAGCCTCTGACATAAGCTGCTTGACTGAACAAGTTTTATATATATCAGCAATATCTGGGCAAAACTCACTTGAAATTTATTACCAGATTTGAAATTTCATCATATTCCACAAATGCTGAAAACTGATGTGCTCCTTTTTGCATTTCTTAATGATAATAGGCTTGCAAAGAAAACACATTAAAAATCAACCTAATCCACTGATGAGAATATATTTAATGTATTTATTTTAGATTGCTGATAATTTAGAGAATACTTCGTGCAGAGTGAATTCATCATGCATTTTGCTTAATGCTGTTCTCAACTTTCCAGCAAGAAGTCAAAATTTCACCATTTTCAATTTGGAGCAGAAAGCATTTGTAGCAGCTGTAGCTCTTAATTTGACATCTAGTTTCAGGTCATTTTCATGTAAATAGGGAACAATGGAGACCGGCTTACAATTTCCATAACGTGGATGTTTCCTTCAACTTTATTATTTTCTTATGACAATTATATTTTCTCTGTGGGATTAACGGAGCCAGTAATTGTTCACAGTTATTATTTATAATCTTTATGAAAACTTGGTAGTTCTACTCTTTAGTACTCAAAAGCTCCCAGTGCCTTCTATATTTCAGTCATACACACAATCCATTAATGTTTCTAGCTGATCCTTTCCTTAATCAGGGGTAGGTTAGGCAGGTCAGGCTTTCTATTTCTTTCTATAATACATTTTCTTCAGGCTTTGCAACCTCTTTTTCTACCTTTACAAAAGTATAGGAGGTGAAAATTTGGAATTGTTCTGTTGAATAGAACTGATGCCCTATTGAAAAGCAAGTTTGAGTTTTGATTTATATTGCTTTGAACATGCCCATATGTATTACCAACTGTGGCTTCACAGCCATTATAACACGTAATTCTGTGCTTTTTCTAATAAATATTTTATTTCATTTTTCCTCTGTTCCAGAGAAGAAGCCTACTTTATGCTGAAGCATCGATGTGCTTTCTTCTGTGTTTTTTATGATCTGTACAGCAATTTTCAAGTGTGTTTTAATGGGGAAAATTTTAATTTTTGTGTACCTCTTTTAAAATATGTTGATTTATGCAGATTAAGTTAAGTAGGAAGTTATTTTTGTAGGTAGTCATTTCCATTTGTTCCTCTTCTAGGAGTAAAAGTAAGAAATCAGATAGACTTTTAAACATTTTGTTTTCTGGATCATCTGAACATACCAATAAATTATGTACTCTTTTGACTTTGAAGTTGTATTAGTTGATATAATCCTGAGCAGGGGTGTGTGTGTGTGTGTGTGTGTGTGTGTGTATTTTAGATGTGCTCCCTCTGTTTTTTAGCAGACACTCATTTGTGCTCTTGTTTTTTTCTGCCCCAGTGATATGACAAGAACAGTGGAGATTTCTGGGGAAGGAGGCCCATTGGGAATACATGTAGTGCCCTTCTTTTCATCTCTGAGTGGAAGGTAAGATGTTTTTCTCATTCCAGAAGCTCATGCTAATGAAAACCCTGATTTGAGCTCCTTTTCCCAAATATTTTTCACAAGGAGATTAAATGTGAATTCTATTATTCAAATGGATACCTCAAGACATACTTCTGTTGGCCACTTAAGTGTTGGAAACAAAATAAAATAATTGACTTTAGGATGTAATGGGGAAAGAAATCAATCACTGTTTCTCCATTTACAATTAATTATGAAATACTTTCTTAAAGTATCCTTATCAGTGACACATAGTAAACAGAATCCTTGGCAAAGATGTTAACATATTGTTAGACAAATGTTGCAACTGAATTTTTTAATATTCCAGAATATACTTCAACAAGTGAGTATAATAATTCCAAATTGATATATCCTGTTATTCTTCAAGTATGTAGCATTTAGAATAATAAATATTCTAACATTTTAAGTAGCTATATCTGATGCTGTGTATGTATGATGGCTTTATAAAAGCAATGTGTCATCATGCTGTATTTTCCTAAAATATAATTTAGTCAATTAAAAATAATTTACCACATCCTTTTGGAATTTTTAATACATTATGTTGCTAAATCCACACTGGTAAAAATGGCATTGTAGATCGTATCAACACTTCTTGAAATTTACATCTATCTAACTGGATTTAAAACTTGTTCTCTTGATGGAAATTAAAGTGTGTGCCACAGAGTTCATATTACCCCTGTTAAAACAATTGTACTGAACTTGTTTTAGATATTATGTCACTTTGTAATAAGACGACCACATTTAGCACTAGATTGATATTGACAAGGGTTGTCAGAAACTTAAAAGAAAATCAGTTTTTCACTAACATGACATGATTTTAGTTAACTTACTGAATTTATTTTCTTAAACACATCATTGAAAAGGGGGGATTCCTTAGTTTAGTTTAGGATATCAAAGACGAGACAAGTCAATTGATTTTCCCAAGGTCATACAAAATCCAGCTCTCCTAACTTCTCACTTCATTGTTCTTTCAAGAACTAAAATTTTCTCAAAGGTTATATAGTATTAATTTAGTGGTTCTGAATATTTATTCAATTCAGTCTGCCCTATAGCGAAAAGAACAGATTTAGTCATGGTATTTTGGTTGGCATCATATTCAGCAGGTAGCCATCTGCTACCTGTAATTGCGAAGTCATCACCTTTTTTTTTTTTTTGCAAATAACATCTGATGCCAAGCTCTCACTGGAATGAATGTTCCCCAAAAGAAATGAACCAAAAAGCTAGCAACTCTTATTGTCTCATTTCCTGTGTGTGTTAATAAGTGTGTTTATAAATGTTATGGGTTATGGCATAGGACAAACTGAGGTTGTTTTTGATAGATAGGGTGAATATTTACTCAGTTGTCATGAGAAATTCTAATGACTTTTGGCAGAAGTATACTGACAGAATTTTGTGAACTACCAGAGCTATTAAATGACCAGGCTCTTTAGTTTAATGAAGGTGGGATAGAGCACAAGATCTTCCCAATTTCCAAAAATGAGAAAATATACAGTGTGACAGTCACTAGACTTCATTTTCAGTAGTTCAGAAAACAAGCTGATCCTATAGATCAGAAATCACATTCTCTCACTTCAAACGAGGGAAATACACTAAGCTTTATTGATTTCCTCCCTTCCTTTTCCTGGTTCTGATTCCTAGCACAAGCCTTGTAGAATAGAAGGAAGAGTATTGGACGTGGTTTCAGAACAACTGGATTTGAATCCCAGTGTTCTTTTTTATAACCTTGAGCAAGTCCCCTAAACTTGCCCCTTTTGAGTACCTACTTTACATCAAGGTTATGGGGATTAAATAACATTAAAAATGTGAAAGTTCCTTGTAAAACACCTAATGTATGAACGTGTAAATCATCAGTCTGATGATTATTTTGGCTAAAACCAAAAAGCCTGATTCAGAAATGTAGTTTTATTATAAGTTCATGGTTAACTGTTCAGTAACTTGGTGAAATAGTTCTATTATTTATTTTTTGCTATCCACCAGTATTATAGGAAGGAAATTTAATTAAAAAACATTAAAAATGCTATGGAAGTGGAGACATGAGCCAATAAAAGTTAAGGAGTAATGAGTACAGGCTGAAACAGCACGCTTAACTCAACCCATGTGTCTAGATGCAACTGTGTATAGAGCATGTCAGACAAGTGTCTGACTTCATAATGCCATATGGTTTCACTGTGTGAGCACAGGGGCTTCGTTAAGGTCATAGTGGTATACTTTGCTCTTAATTTCCTTCCATTTATTGGTTTGTGCCATTATTTTAAATTAGAATTTACATTTAATTTTTTTACTAAGATTACTGTAATTGGCTTTGCCTCCAATGTATTTTTTTATTTTTTTTTCTTTTAGAAAAATGTTGCCACACCTGTTGTTGAATAAGAAACCTAATCTAAGTTAGATCATCCTAATAAGTAAATTATAGTGGCTGCTCTGCTAGATAAAGCCTCAATGAATTCATTAGATACCATCGCAGAGGGGTGCTGAATGCTGCTTGTATTGAGGGCCATTGGCTTTCCCAGTAAAAACAAAGCAAACATAAAAAAAACACCAAAGTTCTTGCAACTAAAATGCAACTTAATTTTATTCAGATTTTTAAAATCAATGTGGTTTTTGTGAATTAAAAACATGAAATCTAATTCGTTTCAGTACAGATGCATAATATGCCTCAGTTTCATAGGGAAGACAGCTAAACAGGAGAGAGAAGGAGAAGGACTGGATGAAGGCTGATAAAGACTGTGAGAAGAGATGTTCAAACCAAAATTCTAAGCTGGTAGAGTCACTGAGGCTGTGTGACATTGGGAAAAGAACAGGAAGGGGGCAAGGAGAAGATGTTGGTGCCTAAATGATAATTAGAAGAGCAAGAAGAATTGTTACCCCTCTAATTCTGTGAGGCTGTGGATTTCAGCATCCTTTATCACTGTTCATTAATGCAAATTAACTGGTTAGTCTCGGCCTATAACTCCTCGACAGCATTAATCTTTAAATTCTGCGAGTCTTGGTCCCAAATGAGACAGCTACCACAGCCCACCAGTTCAGGGCAAAGAGGATAATGAGGTATTGTTTTCTGAGCCTTCTTGTATTGGTCTGGATGAAATCAAACTGGAGGGAATCTATCCCTTCCACGGAGCAGAGAGGGCAGAAGTGGTTTGTTGCCAGGGACCAAACTAATAAAATCAGTCAGTTTTACATTTTACCAAAATTACCTCTGACACATGGGTTTTACAGTTGGGCTTATTCTGTCAATAAATTTTTCATGGAAAGTTAGATTATTTAGATCAGTGAGGTTCACATAGCATACTCCAGCTGTAATATGCCAGCTAAATTGCAACCCAGTGGCCCGAAAGAATTAATTCATCTCCCAAAATGTGAAATTAAATCCTAGGGAGTAACATTACATGACTGATGATGTACTGAATTAAATTAAAGGAAGACTTGAATGCTTGTTAAAAAAATATCACTTACATAAACACGTTTATAACCACATGTGAGCCTCCTAATGAATCAAGTTATTGTGAATCCACCCTAACAAAAATCCAAAATGTGAACTCTTAGGATGCTGTTTAATTTAGGGAAAAAACCCATAAGTTTTATCTATTATTTTAATGTGTCAAATAGTTTCATTTTTAATACTGTGTTTCAAGATTAAAGTAACACAGAATATGACTAATTTGCTAACCTACTGGAACTAGGAAATGAACCACAAGACCCCACTGCACACTTGTGCCTATGACCCTGAGCCTTCCCTGCAGTAGATGGCATGGCTGTTTGCTGTTCTTTCTCCTGCAGCAGCGTGCTGTATTCATTTAACATTTTGAAGTGAGACCCAAATATCACTGCCATGCCTGTTGAGGTCTTGAGATGATGGGAGCTCATTAAGGGGACAGAGGTTCAACTCCGTGGCCACTCCAAACAGGAGGACTACTTTCTCTAATACTTGCATTGTAGATTCCCCTTTTCTATGGCTGACCCTGTTATTTACACATAAAATGTACTCATGTTTTATTTAGGTTTGAAATTTAATGTGAAGGTATTTTGTAATAGCACACATGGATTTTATACAAAAGAGAGTGACAAAGTCGAAAAGCAAGAGTATTGATAAAGTGCAGATCACAGTTTCTCCAAATGTAGCAGACTCCTCTTGCAGGACATATCTATCTTTCTTACTCTGGACACAGCTAAGCCTTGTCACATCACGAGGAGAAGGGAAATCCCACAAATAAGAAATAATGAAAATATGTATAAGTTCCATTTCTTACGGTTTTTGGTTTAGTTTTGGTTTATATATGTAACAGAATTGTGTATGTATGTGTGTACACACACACACACACACACATACACACACACATATTTTAATTCTAGTGGCTATAGTTTTCTTTCTTCTTTCCTTCTCTTCCAACCCTCCTGATTCTAAGCTACAGCCACAAAAATCCAGAGGCCTCTTTGTATCCTCTCTAATTTAGCCTCTTCTTGGTTGAAATTTTGGACAACTCTTCCCAAAGCCTGCCTTCATCATGTCGCTGCCCTACTCGGAAGCGGGGTCTGCTAGATGCCCCCCTCCAGGTCCATCAGATTAAGTTCATTGGCTGTTTGTTCAAAGCCTTTGTGTGTGGCACTGGTCTCCCATCTAGTTAGCTCTCAAATCTTTGAAGGCTCTAGGCTTGTTAATGTCTTTAGTTTTTGGACTTCAGCTGTCCCCCAAATGTATAGTGAAATTACCTGGTCCTGGTCCTATGACTTTGTCTCATACTCCTCCATCCTGATCACACAGGAAACACCCAACACATACTTGATTTGGTAGCACCAACAAATGGGATCCAGCTTCCTTCTAAACTGAGTAATATGATCTGAGCTTAAATGTTTCTTTACTTCTTAAAATGCAAATTTTTAGAATAGGTAGTAAGACTGCAAAAATGTTACTGTGAATATCCTAATGCTCTCCCACTGCTAAACATCACGTTGCCACGTTGGCACTAACTCAGACTTACTATAGTCAGGTGTGATGCCCTTCTCCAAACCACAAGTCTTTGGTGTCAACTCCAGTAAACTAGCCTTTCAATAAGTTTACTGCAAGCATGAGAAATGAAGTCGCAGATTGATGTTGGTACTTATGCATATTTATCTAGAAGGGCTTTTTCTCTTGTAGTCAGTTTTGGCTTTTTTTGGATTAGGGATTAAAATAACAAACAGTTGCCTGAATATAAAGTAAAATTTCTTTTGTAAATAGAAATCAATATGTATTTCTGAATAGTTGCAAGTGGAGAAATAATTAGCATTTATTATTCAGTAATTATATTTCAATCTAAATTTTGCATTTAGGATTCTAGGACTCTTCATCCGAGGCATTGAAGACAACAGCAGGTCCAAGCGGGAGGGACTATTTCACGAAAATGAATGTATTGTAAAAATCAACAATGTGGATCTCGTAGACAAAACCTTTGCTCAGTAAGCATTTTTTCATTGTTTTATTTACTTTCTTGATCCCTAGCATGGTTATAAGCATTACTGAACTCATTATGATCAAAATAGTAGGTAGAATTTCTAGTCAGTTCCCTTTGAACGATCCAGGATATCCATTTTCGAATGCTTCTAATGTTTTAGCCTACTCAAAGGTGGCCCACACATGTCTCTGGCAGGTCTGAGAATGCTAAACTACAGAATATCACAAGCCTTCCTGCCTGGCTGTCTTTACTGGGGCGTCGTTGAACGGGTTTGTTTTTCTTGGGCTATGGGTCACTTAAACTGGTATTTAACGGCTCTTTTCACAGACTGTTGGTTCAGCTTATTAATTAACTTTCTTGGTGTCAGCAGTCTTCCTTAAACTAAAAAATCTGTGAGAGATGTCTGAGGACTCACCGAATCATAGAAACAAACAGAAAAAATAAAATACCGTCTCCTGGCCAGGCGGAGTGGTTCATGCCTGTAATCCCAGCATTTTGGGGGGCCGAGGAGGGCAGATCATGAGGTCAGGAGTTCAAGACCAACTGGCCAATATGGTGAAACCCCATCTCTACTAAAGGTACGAGAAAAATTAGCCAGGCGTGGTGGTACGCGCCTGTAATCCCAGCTACTTGGGAGGCTGAGGCAGGAGAATCGCTTGAACCTGGGGGACAGAGGTTGCGGTGAGCCGAGATCGCGCCTTTGCACTCCACCCTGGGTGACAGGGAGAAACTCCGTCTTCAAAATAAATAAATAAATAATACTGTCTCCCTCAAGAAATCATCTTTCTGCATGTGAAAATGTTAAGGGAATAGCTTCCTGTACCCAGGAATTAGAGTGTATAGTAATCTGATGCATATTTTTTTAATGTGTGTTGGCATTGCAGTGGGATTCTGGACCAAAGGACTAAGTACTAATAATCCTTGGGAGTCATCACCACCCTCTTGTTTCTGACCAAAACAGCTCCTAATACATCTTCTCGCTGGGCATTAGTTGTCAATATTGTATGCGTGTTTGTGGACAAAGATGAGTGGTTGTGGGTCGAGGAAAAGTGGGTACTGGCTGCTAAGTATGAAAAGAAATGAAACCTTAGAAGAATCTATTGTGTTAAAATAATGAATGATAGACAAAACTATAGTTAGTAATAATTTTTAATATACTACTGTGCTTTTTCACAAGGACTTGATAATTATGCAAAGCAATCATTATTACTTCTGTTTTATAGAGGTGGAAACTGAGGCTCATAAAAATTTAGTATAGAGTTAGTATGGAGTAGAAACTGATTCCTATGCAAGCAAAAATAACATAGGGGAACTGACCACAGGAGTTAGGTGGAGTTAGGCCTATGTGAAATCTTCCTTCTCCCCTAACAATTTGCAGAATTAAGCACTTCAGAAAGGGGGGTGCGGGGTAGGGTTTAAGGAATCAGATTGCAGTTGGGATTATGATTAGTTATTATGTGCTGTGGCTGCTAGGAACAGAGACCTGAAATAAGAATAGCTGAAACAAGATTAACATTAATTTTTCCTAGCAACAAGCAAACGTGGAAGAGGGCACTCCACAGTTAGTGCGGCAGCTGCACAGCCGCCAGTGGGTCAGGCAGCTTCCGTTTTCTGCTTTGCCATCTCGCCATGTGGCTACTATCCTTCAGTGGAAAAATGGGCACAAGATGGCTGCTGAGTTTCCTCAGTCACTTCTGAGTTTCAAGAAATAGGGAAGAGAAACAGGAGAACAATAAAAGTTTTTGTCTCTCTACTGAACCAGCCGCTTCTAAAGAGCTTTCCTTTAACGCCTTCATTTATATCTTCTGGGCAAGAAAGAGTGGGAAAGGTAGTTGTTTGACCTGGGCACAGGGCATCTAGAGGCATGAGGAAGAAGAAAATGTTATAAGAAGTTTGAGGAAGAACACAAAGTGTTAGGTCATAAAAGTGAAAAACACAGTTGCTCTGTGTGAGAGTAACAGGAAGGGTGCATGTTGGATTGAAATTCCACTGAGACATTTTGGCACAGCCAAAGCACCTGCCAAAATGTCTCCATGAGCAAACATGGATGTCAAACTTGAACTTGTGTAACACAACCCATGTTAGAGAAGATCTGTACTTTAGAAGGATGTCCTAAAAGAAACCTAACTAATGATCTGATCCAAAATATCTATTTTGCTTTTTATATTCACTTTGGTAATCACTTCTGGTTAGATTTTCATCTTTAGAAACATGTAAAAGCTGTGGGTCATTGGATAAATTATTTCATCTCTCTGAGCCTCAACTTCCATGTCCGTGAAATGAAAGCTATTTATACTTACCGAATGTGCTTTCTAAATTAGAGAAGGATGCATGCTAATAATGCATGTATAAGCTAGTGCAGGGGCACCTAGTGCAAATAGTAAGTGGTAACTAGTATGTAGTTGGCAAAGTCATTCTGATAGGAATATTGATCGTGTCTCCTATGATTAGCCACTGTGCTGCTCTTGGTTGCCATCCTCCTGGGGTACTTTAGAAGATGCTGCACCTCAAAGCAGGGTCATCATACATTTATCAACTTTCTTTCCAGGGCTCAAGATGTCTTCCGCCAGGCAATGAAATCTCCAAGTGTGCTCCTCCACGTGCTTCCTCCACAAAACCGTGAACAGTATGAAAAGTCAGTCATTGGCTCTCTTAACATTTTTGGTAATAATGATGGCGTTTTGAAAACCAAAGTGCCGCCTCCTGTCCATGGAAAATCGGGACTAAAGACAGCAAATCTCACAGGAACCGATAGTCCTGAAACAGATGCATCAGCTTCCCTGCAACAAAACAAGAGTCCCCGAGTACCAAGGCTGGGAGGAAAACCATCCTCTCCCTCACTCTCGCCTCTCATGGGATTTGGCAGCAATAAAAATGCAAAGAAAATTAAGATTGACCTAAAGAAAGGTAATTATTAAATTATGCCTAATAGCATTCTATTATTGTAACATGTAAAATTGGTTAAGAGAAATGCATTAAGGCTAATTTAGTTAATTCTCCCTTCATTTAATTGTATCAAAGAATAGATTTAAGTGTATACTTAGGTAACTTAAATTTCTTGAAATTGTACTTTTTTATTCTTTTCTTCGGAGTGTATAGATTATTTTAAACAAGAAAATAATAAAGACATGTTGGGAAGTGGAAAGAATCATTGCAAACCTGATATCAACAGAGCAATATTGTATTACAACTTAATACCAAATAGGCATGAAAATTCAGTTGTCCCTGTTCTGAGCACGATTAGTGATTCTTGAAGCATCCTTTAGGCCATGTCCAAAAAGCATATTGTTTTTCTAAGACAGTCTTCTAACAACAAAAATTTACTCCTCAGAAAGCAAATATGTAATGTTTACTAATTTCTCTGATTCAACGTCACAAACATTTAAAACATACCTAATTTCAAAAGCATGTATAATATTTTCTTTCTTCATCTTTTTCAACTTTTCTATCCATTTCAAGCACAGATCAGTGAGAAGAGATCATGTGTGTACATGCATATTTATGCAGTATTCTACACACATACATAAGCATTCATGTGCTTCTGTGCTTTTGTTCATTTTGTAACCTCTGCTTTATATTACCTTCCCCCATTGCAACCTTCTGAAATTCTGTGTTTTTCAAGACAACTCAAAAGAAACCAAGATCTTATAGATTCTTGTCTGAATTAATAGAGAATTTATGGTCAAAAGGTAGTTTTAGAAAAACTATTAAGGTCTTTCAAAAACAAATAATGTATCATCATTTAGGATATGAAAATTATTCTGGAAAGATTCTCTGATCAAAATTTCATTCACCTATAAGAATTCTATTCTGGGAATAAAATACATTGACTAGTAGGTACAAAAATACTTCAGTGTGCTTATCAATCAGGTTTTTTATTTAAATGCCTCAGTTGTATTTTTTGTACAAATGATCCAGCTGTGTGTAAGACACAGATTTGGGTGTTTTGAATATAGAAAAATGAATCAGACACAGAATCACCTTAAAAATTTATTACAAAGCCTTGAATGCAAAAATGAAAGATACGACATCACATCTGTACTTTGGCAAGATTAATCTGACAGCAAAAAGATACACTGAAGACAAGGCCAAACAACAAAGGATAAGTAAAGGGTGCACTGCATCTGTCTAAAGGTGGAAACATAATAGGCATGCATTAATAAATGACTGGTTGTAGGAAGGAAAAAAGAGAAGAATTACAGTGATTCCTGAGGTTTTTCAGCCAGAGCAAGTTGCATAATGGAGATGTCATTGCTAGAAATTAGAATTTTAAGTAGATGAGGATATTTGAAAAGGTCAGGATCTGGACTGGAGAGGGAGGTACATAGTGAAGTTTGAAATGTGCATGATGACATCTAGGAAGCTGATATCAAAAAGAGACATTGGAGCCATAGAGATTTAGGTCTCTTTCATTGGAAGATATACTTGGATCCAGGAGCTGGCCAAGGCAGGGAGTCTAGGGGACAAACTGGTCTAAGACAGATCCTTGAGGAACATCTGTGGCTACATGGGAGGACAATGAGTAAGATTTAGAGAGAGTGATGGATGTGATGTGATCAAAGATAGGAAAATAATCAGAAAATAAAGACATGAAAACCAAAGAGAGTCAATTTCAAAAAAAAAAAAAAAAATAAGTGGTGGGAATCATCAAAGCTAGACCAACAGAGATGGTCGCGGGTAGGTCACTGGTGATGGAAGCTTGAAGAAGCAGTAAGATGGAAGTAAGGATCCTTCAGGGTAGAGAAATCTGAGCATACCTTTAGACTGAGTGAAAAATACATGAGAAGGGAGAAATTGGAGATGCAGGAGAACAGGACAGGAACAACAAGATGCTTGCTGACCAGACAATGGGATGCAGCAGTACAAGGAATTGAGACACAAGTAGAGGGCTCAGCCATAGGTTGTCCAGCTCATGTAAGAGGCTGACAGAACTTAAGTCAAATGGCCTTTTGCTTCTCAGGAAGTATGAAGTCAGGTTATGGTTTATTGAGAAGTCAATCTCCTGGGCATCTGGATAACATGTGCATTTCTTCTAGAACCTGAATAAGCCAAAGTGTTACACATCTGGATTGGGCCCTAAATTCACTTTGATACTGTCATGGCCTGTCAGGAACTATAATCTGCATTTGAAACACAAATAACTGAAGCATATTTAAAATGTCCCAGAATGTAAATATTTTACTGATTCTATATTAGTCTAAATTAGGTAGATCTTACTGTAAGACTGAATATAATATTACTCATGCTTAAGATGACTATACATTTTCCTGTTCTTATACACTAGGCCCTGAAGGACTTGGTTTCACTGTGGTTACCAGAGACTCTTCCATACATGGTCCCGGTCCCATTTTTGTAAAAAACATTTTACCAAAGGGAGCAGCAATAAAAGATGGCCGCCTACAATCAGGGGACAGAATTTTGGAGGTAAGAATTGGAATTAATAGTTGTATGAAAATATTTCTTGGCATTTAAATAATGCCATTTAATTGCATTGAAATATATGTAAATATATTAATATTTTTATTTTGAACCTAATATATATTAAAAATTATTACTTATAGACAAGATAAGAACTTTAACTATAGAACTGGTTAATGAGGAGTCTAACTTTGTAAATCCCCAATAAGGTCAGTGATATGGGGCCAAATGATAGTGAAAACCATTTCTGATCTTCCCTCTCTTATTTCTACCTCTTAGAGTCCCTGTGAAATTTGGATTGAATCTAAGAATTCAACATATATTCAGTTAGGGCTAAAAAGTTAAAAAGTCTTTGTAATAGTCTTTTCAAACTTGGCCAGGACAAGCCAGAGTATCTCAGGTCATTCTATGCTTTGTCCATATCCCTATCATCTGTGCTAGGATAGCAATGAAAACAGCTGGAAGGGATTTTGCAGAGAGATATATTTGGGATACCAAAAGCAAGAGGGTGGCTGTTTGTTTTCATTTATTTTTGTCTGAGGACATTATCGTCTTGATAATTATATATTGTCCATTTACCTTTGAAGCAAACATCTTCATTAAAAGCAACACTTTAGCTTTTCATGTTGTTCTAGATCATGAAAGAAGATGCACCAAATGACTACTGTAGCTCCAAATTAGAATTTCCCTTAATCTATGATAATCTGGTGACTATAATTTTCTAAATATGTTTAAAACCTGCAGGATTCTATTGCTAGGTTCGTATTTGCAGAGAAATTTGCCTTGTGATCATGGTTCACTCTGCTTGTTGAATTAGGCAGAAAATGGCGCTAAGTAAGCCTTTGCAATCTGCTTTCTACCTTAAGCGGAATCATTTTCTGGTATCTGTCAGTCCAGTTTCCCCCACATAAGAATGTGATGTCTTAGGAAAAACTGCTGATATTAATTACCGACTCTGAGTTCATCCAGCATCATGATGATGCATTATGGGAAATATTGTTGGGTTTTGCCCATGTATTTAGTTATCATCTTTTCAGAGCTTCCTCAAGTATGGGAGCCCATTTGCTTCTTGTTTTCAAAAACTATCTAGTGTAGAAGGAGATAACAAGTATTGTGATTGTGGCTGTTCATATGCTTTTATTCATTAGGTAAATGGGAGAGATGTCACCGGACGAACCCAGGAAGAGCTTGTGGCCATGCTCAGGAGCACCAAGCAGGGGGAGACAGCATCGCTGGTCATTGCCCGCCAAGAAGGACATTTTCTGCCCCGAGAGTTGGTAATGTTCAGATCTCAGTCTCACTGAATTTTTAATGCCGAGCTTAATACACTCAATGAACTCATTATAGCTGAGAAACGAGTTCTAAATCACAGGCTTCATTCATAACCAAAATTGAATCACACTCAGGGTATTTTACCCCATTTGGGGTATCGCATTTTTAAAACATTGATACAGCCAGTGGGTATATGTAAACAGTGATTCCGGGGCACAGATTCAAACACCTTTAGCAATAAGCAACTATTCAACAGTATGCAACTAATTCAATAAAATATATATTGAATATGTGCTACGTGCGAAGCCCTAGGCAAAACACAGTCAGCAAAATAATTTGTGGACCTACTTTAATGAAGTTTACAGTCTAACAGGAAATAAAAAGATAGCCAAGTATTCAAAATGGCGATGAAGATTATGAAGGGAAAATGCAGAGTGCCATGATAACATAGAACAAGGGTATTTAACCTATTCTTGAGGGCTGGGATAGACATCTTGAGAAAGATGAGTTCAAAAGCCTTATTAAAAATGTATACCCTTAGACCTAGTAACTAGACTTCAAGTAATCTGTCCTAAACTGATGATCAAAGATGTGGAAAAAATTCATGTACATTGATTTTTTCCCCTCAAGTTCTATCTATTGCAGTGATATATTGGGTCCTGTATAACTGTAAGGCATTGGTTAGATAAATAACTAGATAGCTTGCCAGTGAAATATAGAAGTACTTAAAATGGTTTCTGTAAAAAATTGATAATACCCAGCACTTTGGGAGGCCGAGGCGGGTGGATCATGAGGTCAGGAGATCGAGACCATCCTGGCTAACAAGGTGAAACCCCGTCTCTACTAAAAATACAAAAAAAAAAATTAGCCGGGCGCGGTGGCGGGCACCTGTAGTCCCAGCTACTCGGGAGGCTGAGGCAGGAGAATGGCGTGAACCCGGGAAGCGGAGCTTGCAGTGAGCCGAGATTGCGCCACTGCAGTCCGCAGTCCCACCTGGGCGACAGAGCGAGACTCCGTCTCAAAAAAAAAAAAAAAAAAAAAAAAAAAAAAAAAAATTGATAATAGCATGAGAAAATGTTCATAATCTAATACTATATTTAAAAGTAGGATGTAAAATTATTTGTGCAGTATCATTAAATTACATTTTAAAACGTTAACAACTAGAAGCAGATACATCTGGGATATTGGTTATGAGAGGTTTTCATTTTCTTTTCTTACCATAAATAAATATTATTTATTTTATTGAAATTGTGCTTTTAAGAATGCTATAGAAAATTCAAAAGGAGGACAGGTGCAGTGGCTCATGCCTGTAATCCCAGCACTTTGGGAGGCCGAGGCAGGTGGATCACCTGAGGTCAGGAGTTCGAAACCTGACCAGTATGGTGAAACCCCGTCTCTACTAAAAAATACAAAAAGTAGCCAGGCATGGTGGCATGTGCCTGTAGTCCCAGCTGCTCAGGAGGCTGAGACAGGAGAATTGCTTGAACCTGGGAAGCAGAGGTTGCAGTGAGCCAAGATTGCACGAGTGCGCTCCAGCCTGGGCAACAGAACGAGACTCTGTCTCAAAAAAAAAAAAAAAAAAGGAAAAAGAAAAGAAAATTCAGAAGGGATTTTGTAGCTAATAACAAATAGAAACAAATGTGATAAAAGGACTTGTATTTACTCCTTGTTATTTCCTTTGAATCTGTATAAGAATTGACAAAGGCACATGTAGGTTCCCAGAGTTAGGTTATTGGAACAGTAAGGATTAGTTGACAGAACTGATGATGTTTCACTTGAAGAAGAGAAATTTTAGGAGACATGACAGTTATTATCAAATATGTAAAGAGTTATTGTATGGATTGGAAAGTAGACCTGATCTGTTTCTTCAGACAGTTTCCAAGTTTCCTTGGCATGGAATTTTCTTTCTCCCTTTCCTTCTCTTTCCCATCATCTTACCCATTTTTCCCTTTCCTTATTGTGTACTCTGGGGAGATCTGTAACAAAATAGGGAAAATAAGAAAAAAAGAGTGATCTGAGTCATGCAGATATAGTCCCCATTTCCATTCCTCTACTTGACTCCTCCATACCCAACCATTTGAAAGGTAGAATCCTGAATGTCTGTCTCATCTCCTCACACTTTCTAGAGAAATGATGCAGAAACTTGGAGTCTGGATTTTTTTTCTAAAATACAGATGGATTCTTCTTTCAATCTTTTATTTATCCAAAGACCTTGGTCTTTCTCTACAAGGGTCAAAGTGAAAAGAAACAATAAAAAGGGGGGCAGTTATGTGTATGCACCACAAGAGGCCCTTTCATTTCTTGTCTGATATTTAGGTTGTTAGAAATAAAAACTCTCCAAAATCCTCAGTGGAACTATGTGCTTATTTCTGAGATAGGAGAGCAAAGAAATAAGTTTTGACTGTGTATTCCATTGAACTGTGGTCCTGGAAGAAATAAAACCCTGCATAAAAACAGAAATATTTCAGGCAGCCCCTGAGCATGCAAAAGAATGCAACCACAGAACTCCAACTAGGAACTTAAACCCTCGAGCCTGCAGTTTCTGTCTAGTAGTTCCTTATACCTTTCTCCCATATGTCCTCTGGAATTTTTAACCCCACAGTTAATACCTTCTTCCTAGAAGCTATGCCCCTCCACCAGGTAAGGGATGCTGATTTATCCCAGTTTGAAGCTCTGAATTCATTCCTCATCAAAGGCAATTATATCTGGAAGTTAGCAACTGGAATAACATTTAACATTGTCTCTGGAGTTCACATCCCAGAATTCAACTTCTGTATCCACCACTTACTAGCTGTGTGATGTAGAGCCATTCGGAACATCACTCAGAGGCTGTTTCCTCATCTGTATTGTAAGAATTGTTGTGAAGATTAAATGAGATAATACAGGCAAAGCTTGTAGCATAGTTTCTGGCTAATTGTAAGTTCTCAAAATACGTTAGCTATAATTTTTTTTTCTAATACATGACCATTTCTGTAGTAGTGTAAACACAATTCTATACTCTAGATATATTATGGGGTAGATAGATTTATGCAGCCTTGCCTGGGACTAACCACTATTTTTGAACAATGATTGTTTTATTTTTTTATTATTTTATAATGTATTCTGGGATCCAAAATACTGAGTTAAAAACAACATTTTTATAACCAGTCAAATTGATAAGGGAGGCAGCTGTATGTGTTATTTCACTCTCATTTAATGGAATTTAGTGAAATTTGATTTCTATCCCAGAATGACATAGGCCAAGTCCACCAGGGAGCATATTAAGTTAACTGTGCAACTGTGAGATTATGAGTGCAAACAAATTATTTGTTCTCATTGTTTCTAGTTCTATACTAAATTTGGAGGGTATATGCTTAGTATTCATTCCTTTAGAAGTTTCTAGCAAATATCTAGACTCTCAAAAATAGTTGACAGTCAACCATCCAAATATGTGGAATTTTCTTTGTCACCATAGCAAAGCAAGGGCATTTGAGGTTTATAAGCACCTAAGTCACGTGGACCCATAGCCTTCCTATTGGAGAAATAAGGAAAAGCACTCTTTTTCCAGCCCAAATGCCTGCCTCGAATGCCAAGAGGCAAGAACCTTGCAGGAAGTTTAAAAAGAGGTGATGTTTGGCACGTGCTGGGCTATTTCAGTGGGAATTACTTCATAGTGTGGCATACACCGGCCTGTTTGAAAGGGCAAAATAAAGAAGTGTGTTATGTGATACATCTTTGTGTTTTCCTTTCAAAAACTTGAAGGTGATATCACTTTGGTCTCTTCTTCCTTATCATGATTGATGTACACACTTGACTTTCCATTGAAAATCTGGCAGGATGAAGGAAGGACAGCACTTCCTACTTTTGTCGTGTTCTATCTCCTTTGAGGAAAACAAACTGTGTTTATTGGTTTCCTCTTCTAAGAAACTGTCCTCTTTTGTTAAGCCTTGCTGTTCTGCGAGCTCTGTACCTTCTTAACAGCACTGCACTGCCTAGTTTCCGACGCTTAAATCTTCCTTACTTCCTTGTTATCGTTAGCTTCTTGTAAAGTCTTAACACTTAAGCTAAGGGAGCATGTGGTCAGCAGTTATACAGGAAGTCCCAATATAGAATTGTCTCTTGGATGTGACTCTGTCATTCTGAAGGCCATGGTATCCATTTCCTGGTCATTTCTCCTGACCTGCCACCTAAAAGAACTGTGCTGAACTCCTATATTCTAGTTCGTGTCCTTCCTGAGCAATTGATTAACGTCCCAAGTTTAGCAGCATATTTAGCCAACCTTCTTTCCATCTGGGGCAGACCGGGTTGAAAATCAAGTGAGAGGAATTTATATAATAACATTACAACTATTTAGCTGTTTCTAGTATCTTTACCAAAAGAAGGGTATTTCAAAGATAATCTTTCCAGAATCCCATTCTGAAAGATCCTTTGGTGTCCTCACCCCCTGACTGGGTGAGAGTTTACTGAAGAGGTGTTCACATAAGGAACAGTTTTGCAGAAGGTACTTTGAGATTAGTTTTGGTAATAGATTTAGAATCTGAAGGCTAAACTGCTGTGTCTGTGTCTATACTTGAAATGAAAACTATGCTAGTTAATCAACTGGTGGTTTGCGTGGTCAGTTCTGTAAGAGATGTGGCCTACAAATTCTTTTCTGTCTCTGATACCTGAAATTCTTTCTTATGCTAAATGTCAGATAAAGCCGTATTTCCACTTAAGAAAGCTCCTGAAAAACTGAAGTTTTTCTGTTAATTTCATGGCTTCATTTCTTTAAGAGCTAGAGAGAGAAGGAGAAAGTTATTTGCTATGTATGTGTGTGTACATGTGCATGTATGTGCATGTCTTCTTTTTTTATTGGGTAGAAAGGAAGATTCTGCCCTTTCTTTGTTAACCTCTTTAACGTTTCATTTTCTGACCTGCTGCCTTATTTCTAAATCATCCTGAAAATCACAGCAACCCCTGGTGGGTAAAATGAGCTTAAAAAATTTCAAATGTATTTATAATTTCTACCTGCCACGTTTGCCTGCTATTTGATGCTGGCCTCTGCAAGTGAGATTAACTGTATTTCAAGCAAGCAAGTTTCTCCTGCCTGGCATGATTGAAAACCAAAAGTTAGCCATGTTTGTCATGCTGCTTTGACCTTCACTTAGGAATATTGCTTTTGCTGAGAAAAAATGATGCACATGCATGTGGAACCCTACTTAACAGTTGCTGAGCTTAGTGTAGTCCAACACTGTCATGGTTACCTGTCCCTGTGACTACCTTAGCATGCGAGATGTGGTTCCAACTCTTTCTTATTTTTAAGTAAAAAGTTCACATCTTGAAATGTCAAATTATTTAGCATCATAAATTATAGAATTTTGGTTTGAAATCTTAGATGAACCTCATTTAAATGATATATTATTTCATTCCCTTTGGCTATTTGATTCAAATGATTCCATGCTTAATTAACTGAGATACTTAAGGAAAAATGAATATTATAGCAGTTATTTGTGGATAAGTAGCAGAAATTGAAAGATAATTTCAAAATGATTTTTCTACCTAAACTAATGTGCATGAGATATGTTCTGGAATTTAAATAATTATGCAAAATCCAAAGTACCTTGCTATATTTTATGTATTCTCCAAGTAACACAGTTCATGTCTTATGATGAAGTCCTTGCTAAGACAGAGTTTCTTTTTCAGCTTTTCCCTACAATAATTTCCATTTTCTTCTTACTGCATTTTCATTCAACCAGTATGTACTGAATCTTAGTCAAGGCTCTGCAACATGAACTTCCAGAGATGAAGCTAGAAGCTTCATCTGAAGATGTGTCCTGTCTTCAAGGAGCTTCTAGCCCATAAAGAAAAGAAGAGTGATAAGTGGATCAAATGAGCAAATAAATTGTTACAGGGATTCAAAGTATGTCAGGAACCAAGAAAACCTTCAAGAACATGACAGCATTTGAAAAAGAGACTTGAGAATTGAATAAATTTCAAGATGCAGAGCCACATGGGCAAAAGAAATACTCTCTTCAGTTACTCAGAGATTAGAAAGTACTAAAGTACAATAAGACCGTAAGCAGCCCAGTTTGACAGATTACCGAACAGGAGACTAAGATGAGAAGTAGTGCTATTTTGAATAAGTTTGGAGGGGAAAAAAGATGTTGGGATATCTATTAAGAGCTTATTGTAATTCACTAGAGGGTACCAGTAAGGAGCTTGGGACCTGGAATCCGTCACACCTGGGTTGAGCCTTGACTCTATCACTTATTGATTAAATGGCCTTGATGAAGTTATCTCCCTGAGCCTCCATTCCTCTTCTGTAACACAGGGACTAGACTAGTGTCTACCCAAGAGACTAGTTGTTAGGATTAAATGAGATGCATGTAAAATGCTTACATTGGGCCACAGAGAATGGGATTTAACAAATATTCCTTGTTATTATAACCATTGCTCATTTGAATGAGAGATATTAAGTGCACAGATTAGATTTTCCCACCTGTTAAGAATGGAGAGAAGAAAATATTGTGGTAGAAAACTTTGGTTTTGGCAACTGGTAGATGTGGGAGTGAAGGAGTGAGAAATATCAATAATTCCAAAGTTTTTAATTTGGCTGTGTTGTGATATTATTACTTGTTGCAGGAGAAAACAATTTTTATTATCCTAGAGTTTTATGACTTTCATGAATCCCAAGCTGTTTTATGGGCCAGTGAGCCTCGGCATTTTTCTTCCCCTACTCTCTACTCTCATTCCAAACTCTTCATCTTTGAAAGGGAGGACACTCCTCTCCTCCCTTTTATCTCAAAACTCCTTAAGATATCTACTTATAGGTCATTTGCTTGGGCAAAGCTTCCTTGAACCCCCAAGTCTAGTTTATGGAACCTTACGCAGCTTTCCATCCATATTAAGGGTTCACCTCAGCATGCGCCCGAATCACACAATATTATAATTTCTCCAATAGACCTTAAGAACTATAAAGAAATAGTCCTTAAGATGCCACATTTGGGAATCTCATGGCCTGGATGTGAATCCCTGCTTTGCAATTTCATTTAGCCTTTCAGTGTCTCAATTTCCTCATTTGTTAAAAATGAGGATAAAAGCAACACCTACCTTGTAGGGTTGTGTGAGAATTAACTGTGTGCAGCTGTTGACGCACAGTGAGTGCCAAATCATATTAATCCTTGTTATTTCCTGTGCCTAGAGCATAGTGTATGCTCAGTGGATATTTGTTGACTGAATGAATGAAAGCTACGCATTACTAAAGTTGGTGATATAGAAGGCTGGGAAACGTATTACTAAATGAGCCATTACTGCTAGTCTGTATCTAGTCTGCATTCAGTATATTATTATCCTGTACAATTCTTTTAAACCAAATTAAAAAAATATATGCAGGGATTTTCTCTGAGCAATAGCGATTTCTGATTTACAGCTGCGTGCCACAATGAGGGTTAGGATAGTTTTCCATGTAAATGACAGCTTCAGTGGTTTAAGTTACCATGATGACATTTGCACAATCTAGTTGTACAGTTTACTTGTAAAGACATATGAGAGCCATAAGTATCATGTTATAATTTGAAATGTTAGCGGTATTTTTACAGTATCGTGTTAAAGTATTTTAAATGCTTCAATTTGGGCTGCAATAATTTGTTAGAACAATGGTTCTCAGAGTGTGGTCTCAGGCTAGTAGTCTTGGCATCACTTGGGGATTTGGTAAGCATGCAGATTGCCAGGCTCCCTCCACACCTACTGAACCAGAAATTCTGGAGGTGGGCTTAGAAATCTGTATTGTAACAAGCCTTCCAGATAATTCTGGTGCTCACTCAAGTTTGAGAACCATTGGAATAGTGGTTTCATTATAAAGAACATGAAGCCTGTAGGATAACTTAGTGGCTATTGCTGACTAGCTTCAGTGATCAAATTTTCAACTTTATGTCTCCTGTGAAAAATGTCTTGTTCTGGGAAAAATATTCTGTGAAATTTTTTAAGCCCAGTTGAGTTGTGCCTTTTTGGCTATGTGCCCCTCATTTTGGCAAAGGGCCAGTGCTGAGTGCAATGCAGTTACCCAACTCAATTACCCCTGATTCATTTAGGCAAACTCAATTGTACTTGACTTTCTCAGGTCCAACTCGATTGTGCTTTAAAATTTCCACACTCAATTTGATTGTGCTCAAAATTTTTTATGTGCCACCTTGTAACTTGTAGATTCAGACACATATCACAGGAGGTACTTTTGAGAGACTTGGAATATTGGGTTGTTGGTATTTGTTTGCAGTTATACCCATTTCCCTTCTTCCTTTCCTCTTATCACCTCTATTGGAGGCTTTAGGGTAAGATATGTTCCATTGACCCCATTACATGGACAATATTCCAGCATCCACCCTTTTACTATGGTTGGACTCAAGTTAGAGATATCACAGATTCTAGGAAAGTGATCCTTAAACTGTCACAAAGCAACTGTGCTTAGTTTCCATTTATCTCATTTTAAAGATGAAAGTGAGGTACAGAAACACTGCCCCTTACCAGCATTTACATCGTCAAAATCAGAAATACGACTGGGTGTGGTGGCTCATGCCTGTAATCCCATCACTTCAGGAGGCTGAGGTTGGTGGATTGCTTGAACCCAGGAGTTTGAGACCAGGCTGGACAACATGGTGAAACCCCATCTCTACAAAAAAAAAAAAAAATTAGCCAGGCATGGTGGCACACACCTGTAGTCCCAGCCACTTGGTAGGCTGAGGCAGGAGGATCATCTGAGCCTAGAGAAGTAGAGGCTGTAGTGAACCAAGATCATGCCACTGCATCTAGCCTGGGCAACAGAGTGAGACCCTGTCTCAAAAAACAAAGTCAGAAATAGCTTTTAAGTAAGACTTCCACCTCACTGAGGTAAATGCTGTACCTTCTCTCACTTGTGCAATGTGCTCAGAGACTGGGTCCTTAATCATGGCCAGCTTTTTGAATGTGCTCAATAGCCCACAAGGCCAAGGGATTAATAGTCATTTGCTGCTCCCTAAGAAGTACTTATATCTGGAAGAATTCTACTGAACTATTGTCAGCAAAATCTAGTCTTGATAAAATAGGTGATGATAAATGCTGTGGTTCAGCATTATTAAAACAGATGGAGGAAGTGCGGGGCTATTTTGCTGGGTTGTATGGCTTCCAGGTGTCAGAATGTAAATACTTAATGGCTTTTATCACAAGATGGGTTTTGTTGGAGATTGGAAGGTAGTGGAAGGAGGAGTGTTCTATGTTGTAAAGATCTCATGACATTTCAGAAAACTGGGGCCTAAATACGTTGTCTTGCAAAGTTAACAGTGAAGAGCTATGAGATTTGGCCTCATTTTCATGGTGCATGACATATGTCTTATTAGTGGCGACTGTGGCTATGATTATGCTTCTGGAGACTGGAGAAAAAGAATTTTCTGAATTTATATATTTGAACAGCTCGGAAAAAGTCATATTGTGACCAACCACCTACTATATCTTATCATCCAGTTAGCCAAATGTTACCAGTAATTTAGGCCAGCTGTTGATTTGGAGCAAGCTGGATAAGAAGTTGGTTACAAAACTTAGGGGACAACCTTGATTTGCTTAATTGCCTCCATGCCTGTGATCAGTACATTTGTTAAGGTACATTTGGTGTAAGGTAAGGAAATGTGTTCATTTTGTAAAGGATCTTTAAAGATTAGGGAAAAAAATACTACCTTAATTGATGGTGGTTGACTTTTCCAGCTGTTATCAAAGTAAATACCACACATGTGAAATTGCCACTACAGTCCATCTCATTTTGAGAGTATAGTTAGAAGTCTGAACATGTTTCATCTGCCTGGTTTTCCAGGAAAATGTGTGATCTTTATCATTAAAGAATATCAGCTTAAGATCACCTTTTTTTTTTTTTTTCCCTAAGGGCTGGTAAAACAGAGATAGACACTTAAATAACAATCTGTTGCTACTTACTTCTTCTCCTGCCCTGTCCCCAAAGATTCTCTGGGCAATGACTTTTAAATATGTTCTCATTATTTTTAATGAGTGTGCAGAACATATGACACATAACGCAACAGTAGATAGGTGCCCTTTTACTGAACCTGTCGGATACAATCAAACATCGCAGGGGTTAAGATGCATTTTTCTTTAAGATACTATAATTATTTAAATTAAGATGTTCAAGTACACATCACATACTATTCAATTCTTGCTGCTGCCTAAATGATGCCCCACCACAGTCCCAGCTCTCTCTTTAAAAAGAATGTTTTATCCCAAATGTTAAAAAGACCAAAGAACATTTAATATTGTTATGTCTCTTTAAGTTTACACTTCTTAAAATCTGTCCCGGATGGCAGGATATTCAATTATAAACGAGTTCAATGATGTTTCCTTGCCACTGATTGAGTTATATGAAGGACTTCTATCACCTAGTCTTTCCGTAATTAATCCTTTGCATTTCTTAGAGGTTTAGCACTGCCCCCCACACACCAAAAAAAGGATTGTTTAACGGCTTGAAATGTTGTTTCAATTTTCTTATATTTCTTCTTTCTCCCCTTTACCTTCCTCCTTTTCTTTCCATTCTTGCTTCTGACCTCCCATCGTACCTTTCTGGAACTAAGTAACACTCTATGTGTTTCTCAATTATATAGAACTTATTTACTTCTACTTCACATGAAAATGCCAGGTGGTGGTGGACATAATAGTACATTACATTAAATTACATTAAATGCCATTGAAGATGGCAGTGATGGCAGTAGAATAGAGAAAGATATCAGCTCTGAGAACAGCAAAGCTGCCTATGCTATGCATTCGTCCCATAAATATTGGAGCCTATGGTTCCCGGCTTATGGAAATGCCTGCCTTAGCACTCTGCAGGTAAGTTACAGACTTTCCACATGACTTGAAAGAGCTGGCTTTCACCCTTCTCTCCTTCCCAGCAGCTATATATTTCATCTTTAGACCCTTGACTTCCCACTGGAGGAGAAAAACAAACAGAAACAAATCAACAGAAAAGCAAACAAACAAAAAACAGCACAACAGAAAAACGGCCACCCAAAACATCTTAGCCATGATTTACTTTCACTCCATCTCTCTGAAATGAAATGTTCTCTTCTATGATAATCAAAGAAAGGTTGATGTTCAGAAGAATTGCCATCTTCCACCTCTCTTTCCCTTTTTTCTGGGTCCACATTGGAGATGACAGGAATCAATTGTTCAGCAAGTATTTACTGAACACCTACTATTCCCAGTTTAGCTGATCAAATATTTATTGAATGTTTATTTTTGCTAGATGCTGTTCCATGCAGTGGGTATTCTAAAATGTACTAAAACATGATTCTTTAACTCCAGGAGTTCATAGATAATGCTAAGTGGTATTAGAGAAACAATATAAGAATATAGCATGGTACCTGTCAGTAGGGAAAGCTAATGAAAGAAAAATAGTTGCACAAGTTTCAGGAAGAGGTTAAGGGGCTAATAAGGACATAAAAGTTATAAAAAGGAAGAAATTAAAGTTCTTTAAAGTCAAAAGACTTTAAAAGTCAAAGGACTTTAAAATCATGAAAGATTTCGTTTATGAGGTGGGACTCTGGTCAGGCCCTAGATAGATTCGAAGAAGCAAGAAGAGAAAAAAGTTCCAGAAATATGGACAAATAATGAATAACGAACATCTTTCCGAAGGCAGGAAAGAAAACTGCAGAAAAGGAAGGAAAGGAACAGAAAGGAACATTTTTGTTAGAGTGACATGTTGTTGGCTACTTATGCTATCATTTAAAGTCGGTAACAAGACCACATTTTTTTAAAAACCCATCAGATGTGAATTTAAAATCGAACTAATGCCCTCCTTTATAAGTTCTATGTTTTAGTTATCTCTTGCTATTTAACTTAACTACCCACCACTTTAAGAGTTAAAATTATGTTTTATTATTTCTCGCAGTTCTGTGGGTTGTGTGACTTCTTCCCCTGCCAGTTTCGTTTAGACTTATGCATGGAGCTGCATTGAACCAGAGAGTCTACTGGGCGGGAAGGCCCAGAATGGCCTTCCTTACACGTGTCTGTCAGTTGGTACTCTAATAGCTGTTGGGTGGGACACCATGGTCCTCCTTCATGTGCCCTCCCACCCTCCAAAAGGCTAGTTCAGTGTCCTTACATGGCATTCTCCAAGACAACAAAAGCAGAAGATGTAGGGCTCATAAGTCTTAACTTTGGAAGTTGCACTGTGACTTCTGCTTCATCCTTTTGGTCAAAACAAGGTCAAGTCACAAGGCCAGACAAGATCCCAGGGATGGAGGAATAGATTCCTTTCAGGATGGAAAGAGCACCAAATCACATTTCAAGGAGATATAATTCATGGAGTCCGATAGGGAAGTGGGAGTGTGCACTGTTCTATAGCCGAATAAGTATTGGTCAGGGATGGAAGATTCAAGTTATCAGCCCAGGACTGTCAGTAGATGGTTGAGTTTTGAATGGTCGTTTAATTTCTTGAGTCTTAATTCCGTTCATGAATTTCTTATTGGGAAATCTTTTCCCAATAATTCTTATTCTTATTTTCCCATAAATTCTTGTTTTTATGCAAATACAGTGTTGAAGATACAGAGTAGGCCAGGCATGCTCCTTTCCCCTACATTGCTGTTTAGCAGCGTTTTTACCTAAAACATTGTGGCTCTTGACATATACGTGCATTTCTCTCTTATGCTGGACACCAGTCTCCCTAGATGAAGAATGTGCTTTCCCCTCCCGTTCTTCTCCCACCTCACATAGAGAATTACTCTTTTAGACATCTACAATCTGAATTGGCATTGAAGAATAGAAGTTTAGTTGTATAGATGTTGATAAACTAAATTTTAGTATTTAAATGCTGAAATTATCAAAAAAGTAATTTGACAATAAAGAGGGAGAAGAATTTTTTTTATCTGTAAAAGGAGGAAATTGAACTGAATTGTCTTTTAAGATTCTTTCCTATTCCAAAATAACCTCTAAGTTTCTGTGCATCAAATCTTGGCATGACACTCAATACAGACAGTGCCCAAATTATGAAAGATCTGTATATATGAATGGGAATGGGCTGCATGAATTCTCTTCTTAGTGTTTGTTTGTTCCATACTTCAGAATGTCTGGGGAACATTTGACCTAGAGATTACCTTAAGTAAATGTAGAGCTAACAGATTGCCAACAGATATCTTTCTCATGGCTACCTCTTCGACCCCTGCCATGGCAACGCTTGTTGCCATAGTAGTAGGCACAGATGGAGCCCTTCCTCCAATCCTCTACTGATGCCACCACTGCTGTGGGTAGCATAAGGGACTTCACTCCCATAGCCAGCTCAGAGGGAAGTGTGATCCTTCATTCCTGAATTGGAGGTTTCAGTGTATTCTCCCATAGAACATGGTTAACTATAACCCATCCAATAGAATGCAAATTATTACTTACTAGTATGTTTTGGAGATACCATGGAGTAAACAAGCACTCTTGGCTAAGAGAGAAATGTAGCCAAAATTTATCAGTATTTTTTTTTTTTAAGAAAAACAAAGGCTCAACGTGCAGGCACCAAGTTTACAGACAAACTTATGGCATCAGCCTGTTTTCTAACTAGAAATTGCCTTGCCTGTACCCACACCCACAGTCATTGTCTACTTAAAGCTTGTTTCCATTACACATTAAAATGAATGAATTACAAACATTATTCATTAAGGTTTTGGCCACCTTTAATAAAAAAAACCTCTGGGTTCTGGATTCTTCTATTAGAAAAATATGACTATGTCAACACTAGCAACTTGTTGGAAACTGGGCGTATATTTTCAGTGTAATTATTAATGCAATCACCTCAATTCCTCTTTGGTATTAGGTTGCAAATAAATTATATAAATAAGTATTAATGCAATTATTAACTTGATAATTTTATGTACTATGTAGGCATGCAAGGAAATTAAACAAAGATGAAGGCTGCTACATTTGTTCATGTTTGGGATATACATAACAGTGACTTATTCTCTATATCATAAAGAGATAGAAGTGTACTAGATAGAACTTTGTCTTCAGCTGTATAACTGAGTATGATTGTAAAAAAAAAAACTGAGTATGATTTTCATGGTGGTTAAGTTAATAACATGTCACTATTATTTGTGCCCTTCTAAAACAGAAACCAAATAAATCATGTGTGTCCTAACTGGAAAGAAAGTAAAGGCAAAAAGCTGCAAACAAGCTAGTGGCTTACTTATTAAGAAGCCAAGCTTTTGCTGTCAGATAGCAGTTCAGAGGTTCCTCTTTAACCTGTAGGGTTTCTTGCAGAAAAGAATACTGATCGCATGTGAATGTCTTACTTCCTTCACAAACCTTTGAAAATATTTCCCAAAGATTGCGTTGCCTCTGCTCTTAGCTCAATAGCTCTCAAGGGAGTTGGCATCTCTTATCAGAAGCACACAGCCAGGCCAGGGGCAGCCGGCACATTGAGAGGCCAGGGCGGAGTAATGGCCAAGGCCACCGGGCAGGTAGTGAAAGGCCCCTCGCTGTGTTAAACAAATGCAGTTTCCTTCCTGGCTTCCGCTGGAGCTAATTTTGTTTTTCACTTCTCTTCTGGTATATGAACAATAAGGATGTATAAGGCCATTCTGCCTGTGAGGAGATGTGCATTAGATTATCATAAATCCACAGATAAAAAGCACAGTGGTCAATGAGAACAGGCATTCTTGGATGAAATAAAAGGTTTAATTGAAAGTGTGGTCCCAGGGGAGACAGATGATTGAGCGTGGTATTGAGTAGACATTAATTACCATAGTCCAGAGAGTGAAAAAAAAAAAAAAAAAGGAAGACCGTTCCTTTTTTTTTTTTTTTTTTTAAAGTTTCCAAATCTGTTTCTCTTTGAGAGAATATGGGAGATCATCCTAATAGGATGTTAGGAAAACAAAATGAGTCTTGCTTATACACAGTATTCTTAGAATACTATTAATGTTTCTTAAGAAGTAGCAGTTGATTTTTCTAATAGATATTTTTGTTCGAAGTTAGAGATCTAGACAAAGTACAATGTGTACTGTTATGCTGAATAATGGTTTTAAAAGATATATGCATATTGAATTATAACACATTAGTAAATGATTTGTACTTATTCATAAATCTAGAATTTTTCATTCTTTGGTTATATCTCTCAGCATTTTTTTGGTAGGCTGAGATTTTCTTCTACAATTTAGCAGAAAAAAATGAAGTCGAAAAGGCATCTGAACATACAGTCTTCATTAAATATTAGGCCACTAGTTTTGCATTGCTGAAATATGGCTGCCTTTATAAATCATACATGTTTGTTTAGCTAGTGCCCTACTTTTGATGTGGCTAAAATTATGGGAAGAACTCTACATCCACCGGGATAACGGATGGTGTCAAGAACTGCCTTAACAAGAAAATAATTGGTCAGGTGTCTCTTTTAACAGTCATTAGCATATTTGAATTATGAGTTTGGTTCTTCTTTCGGGTCAAATAGAGTATAAAAGTATTCTGAATTATCTGTACCTAATGTGCAACGGTTTTGAAAGGACAAAAACTGGGAGACTGAATATATTAAGAGTATGTTACTTTGTGCTTGCTTACAAACTGCTTCCCAATTCCGTTATTTAAGAAGAAAAAATAAAAAAATAAAAGCACCACCAACTGTCAGAGCAACTTTTAGTTGGCTTTTCAGTTTTATTTAGAACAAATGAATTTGCTCCCTGAGTGAATTTAAACTTTTCAATCAATTGTTTAGATGTTGATGTAGACATAGTCTTAGTTTTAAATGTGAAAAATTGCTTTTTTTGGTTTAATTTGAACAGGGTAGTTGCCAAATAGCACCAGCTGTCATAATAAAGTAGAAGTGAATGACAGATTTACTCCACCCCATATCAAAACTCAGAAGTGGATATGGTGATCAAATGAGCCAAAGTAAATGTAAGATCTTAGAAACATTTGCAAGCTATTTTCTTGCATAGCTCAGCCCTTCATGTGTATCAAAGTGCAAACAGGTTACGGTTATGCTTAGCACTATTATGGCAATGGAAAAAGGGGAATCACTTTGTTACTGTAGATATGCCAAATATATTATCTAATGTTCCAAAATACCATTTGATGATGGTGATGGTGGTTATAGTGAATCTTGTTTTTACCAAATACACTACCAGTCTATAAGATGGTATTATAAAGTATTGAAACTAGAAGCTTAATTAGCAGTTTATGAACTGTTTTTTAATTTTAATGAGAACGTGGCACATACTGAGCTACAACGGAAGAAATAACTGCAGGAGCACTTGTTGACAATGTTCTTTAAAAAATATGTACCATACACTTGTTCTTAGGCATGGCGTTGGGATAAGGGACAGTGGCATAAACATAAAAATGGAGTGGTCTCTGTTGCCCTTAAAGTCCTTAAAGATGTACATAATAATAAATAACCATGATATAACGTGATTAGTGCTATGCTTTTATTATGTATAGAGTGTTTTGAAGACCTAGATGAGAGCCACAAACAGCAGGTGACAATTAAGATGGGATTTGATAGGTAAGAGTTTGCTAGTGGGTGGCAAAGCAGGGTAAAGAGAGAGCATAAGTTTTAGGTGGAGAGAATCCCATTTAAATAGTTAAAGAAGGTATATGTAACATTTGATTAATTCCAGTTTCCTTTACTAAACATGATAAAAAGTTTAGGTGAGAGGTGTTGAAAACTATGATTTTGGTAGATAAGATGAAAGACATAGTAGTCGCTTTTGGGAGGGAACTTAAATACAATTTCAAAGAGGTATTGTGGCAGAGAAGTGTCAACAAAACATGTATGAAGTCATCGCATAACGAATACTTACTAGATGCATACATTCTGCTGGATGCTAAACAGGAATCAAAGTTGAATTAAACATAATTTCTGCCCTTGATGAGATCACAGTGGTATAGCAGAGTTAAGATAGACAGGCAACCAGGCACAGTGGCTCACGCCTGTAATCCCAACACTTTGGGAGGCCGAGGTGGGCGGATCAAGAGGTCAGGAGTTTGAGACCAACCTGGTCAACATGGTGAAACCCCGTCTCTACTAAAAATACAAAAATTAGCCAGGCGTGGTGGTGCGTGCCTGTAATCCCAGCTACTCAGGAAGCTGACGCAGGAGAATCGTTTGAACCCGGGAGGCAGAGGTTGCAGTGAGCCGAGATCACGCCATTGCACTCCAGCCTGGGTGACAGGATGAGACTTCGGTCTCAAAAAATAAATAAATAAATAAATAAATAAATAAGATAGGCAAGCTGGCAAATAATTGTAAGAAAGTGATGCGAATCATCAGAATGGGAAAACATAAGTGAAATGGGAGCTGCGAGAAGGGCATATTGTTCCTGTGCTGATAAGGTCAGGGAATAGTTAAAAGAAGAGGTAGCTTATGTGCTGAGACATAAAGCATATTTTGAAATATTGTGCAAAGAATTCTTAATTCCATTACCCCTTCATTGTGAAATTTCTTTTCAGTTGAATATTATGTCAGCACTTGATATATACACACATGAAATGTGTTTTTTTCCTTATGTATGATTTCATTAAGTATCGTAAAAATTGTGGGTTTGCGCCATCAGGGAAATGATTGACTAAAAAGATTCATCCACTTGTGGTGCTTCGATGAGTCTTTCTTTTTCATGTATCAGCAAGTAAAAACGGGGCTGTGATGGATTAATTTGAAAAAATTAATTCCTTAGGCATGAACTGAACTGAGATAGTACTTGTTTAGTCTTTGAAGCATACTTAACTTTGTTGGAAAATTAAGATCCATTAGTTCAGGGAAGAAAGAAGTCCTGCTCAACCTACATCCAGCAAAATATTGATTGGAAGTGTGCTGAACTTTTAAACTTCTTGTAATTACACACTGATTTTACAGGAATTAAGGCCATAGAAATTGCTCCCTTACCCTTGTCCTGCTTTTCTATACATATAACAGCACGGGAGAGGAACACTTGGAAGATGAATACTGAGGAAGAGTAATGTGAAATAAAAGACAATATTCAGTAGCCCGAGCCAGTATTTTAGGGCTCTGGAGCCACCTGAACAATCCCCTTCAAGAACCTGGCATGAACAGTGCAGGGATATGCAGGAAGAATTTTCCTGAATCTAGGCTATGTATTTCCCTACTTCAGGAAAATCTCACAAACCAAGATGCTACTCTGAGGTTCAGAGCCTAGAAGCAATATATGTGTCAAATAGAAAATGTGATACCTAAGAGAAGGGAAAGATGTGATTCAGAGAAATATAAATTCTATAATATATCATTAACCCTTGATAGGTCCCATGTGTTCCACCCTCCTCCCCCTAAAAATGGCATCCAGTTGGTGGATGGGATTATTAGTTTTTATTCTTTACTTTCAAATTGCAGCATTATATAGCTTTGGCATAGCCCCATGGTGTTTGGAGAGTACTTTCCAACCATAGGCTGTGGACTTGGCCATGCGAATTCATTTGGCCAATAAGATGTTAGCAGATATCACGTGAGCAAATTCTTGAAAGGTTATTTTGTTTTTTCTTCCTTTTATCATGTGATAAATATACTTCAGGCATGTGGTGGTCCAAGGAAGATGGGAGATATGTGGAGCAGACGTATACCTAATTCATAGCTTGGAGGCAAGCCTACATGAGCCTAGCATATATCAGCCAAACCTCAGCCAACCTGTAGATATATGAGCCAGCTATAAATGCTTTATTGTGCATATCATAATTTGGGGATGATTTGTTATGCAGCATTTGTGTGACAGTAGCTGACTGATAAATTCCTTCACTTTTCCTTATGAATTAATTCTGGGTAGATTTCCCCTCTCCCTTCAATTTGTTTGTAGTATGATGATAGGAAGATATATTCACATTTTAATTTTAATGGATTTGTCATCTTCTATAAGACCTAAGTGACTTCTTATTTTATAGTCAGTTGTATCTGACAATTTTAACAGAGTAATTGATTTAATTATTAAGATAAAAGGCAAATTATATGTTTTTATCTACAAATGACATGTTGTAGATATGGTAAGAACTTTTTCATTAAAATAGTAAACATGTACTGTGAATTTTAAGTGGTTGTTACCCACTGAGATTTCTCAATCTCTACTTGGAATTTCGAATTATTTATCATTAACAGCATACTAAAGGGGATTGGTATCCAGCAGGAATCACATTAGATGCAATTCAAACGTGAGAGAAAAGGATGGGGTAAAAAGGGCTATGCTTTTATTGTTTGATTTTCTTAGAAGCTTTAACCAACGAAAAGAAACTCCCCGCTCATGCCCCTACAAAAATACTGCCTCTTTTCGAGGCTGTGGTAGTATTGTTACTACATTATAGCATAATTTAATAAATGTTACTCCCTGAGCCTTAAAGTGAAATACATTCACTGGGTCCTCTAAGGAAAATGAAGATGATTGAGATGTAATCCCTGCCTTTAAAATCCTTGAGTTGGGAAGAAAGCTATATTATCTTTATTAAGAGAGTTATTGTACCCTAAATAACGGCACATATACCTAAACTTGAGGTGGCTGTGTAGAACACTCTCAAATTTCTACTCTACTGGTTTAAGATTATATTTTTTAACTATGGCACTTCCTAAGATCTCAGTGAAAATATCCAGTAACTAATTGTCTTTCTGTACAGAAACTTCCCAATCCAACCCTCCGCCGCCCCCGCAAAAAAAAAAGAGAAAAGAAATTTCTCATATGGAAATGAAACATCATTTATCCATTTATGGAATAAAGACAAGACTCAATTCTACAAATTTCAGAACGTACCTGCTGCTCTGCATCTTTAAAAGCCAGCATGAGGCAGTACTCCACTTTTGTGATACTCTGTTTTTAATACTAATTGTGAAATATGTCATTTACACAGAAGTGTGATGTAGAAATAATGGAACTGGAAGGTTTAATCATGCAGCTCTGTGGCATCTCTCAGACCTTGCTGGTGACCTACAAGGTATCTCTGTCCTCTGCTCCTTTCCCTCTAGCCCATTCTCCCCCATGTTCTCTAAGGCACCATTGCTTTAAGTGTATGCTAGGGAAAATTTCTACGGCATGCTCCGTGTAAAGTTGTTTTCATGGCCAGGGAAGTTAGGAAACCCTGCATACTCTGTCTCCCTCTCAAAGACTCTGAATATGTTTTAACTTTAAAAATAGCCTCCAAGAAGTCAAAAAAAAAAAAAAAAACACCTTTTCCCCCAGATTTTTTCATCATAGACACCCTCATTCTCTCCCCATATGCGATGGCTGAGAGCCTGTATATTAGACATTGGATTGATCCAAGTTTTAGAGGGAGCCAGTTTGGTTGCCTTCGTTGGTTTCTGAAGCCAGCCCTAAATGGGCACAGCCTTGGGCCAGACCTCCTGGGGAAGCGCCAGCAGCCTGTGGATTGACTGTCCATAGCGAAGGGCACCTGCACATCAGTCGGTGCCACCCTTGCTTCCTGGGTGCAAGTCTCATCTGTGGATACAGCAGGCACCGTAGCCCATGTACTCACTTTAATGAGATGCTCTGTACTGTCATTTATGTTTCATTCTTGTCCTTGATGTTGTGCTATCTTTTAAAGATGTTACATGCAGGTAGCCTGGCATCAAAGAATTTGTGATAGCAAAGATATTGGAAGTATCTTCCTAAGGGCCCAGCTTCCCAAATGGGCTACTTCTCAGGATCAGGCCCATTATGCTCCCTTTTAAGGTTATTAAATTGTTACATCAGGCTGGGTGCGGTGGCTCACCCCTGTAATCCCAGCATTTTGGGAGGCCGAGGTGGGCGGATCATGAGGTCAGGAGATCGAGACCATCCTGGCTAACACGGCAAAACCCCGTCTCTACTAAAAATACAAAAACATTTATCTGGGCGTGGTGGCGGGCGCCTGTAGTCCCAGCTACTCGGGAGGCTGAGGCAGGAGAATGGCGTGAACCCGGGAGGCGGAGCTTGCAGTGAGCCGAGATAGCGCCACTGCACTCCAGCCTGGGCGACAGAGCGAGACTCCGCCTCAAAAAAAAAAATTGTTACATCATATTGTTTGTTCCTGAATCTTATGTTCATATAAAAGGACACATTCTTTTTTTATTTTTTGTTTTTTTGTTTTTAAGATGGAGTCTCACTCTGTTGCCCAGGGTGGAATGCAGTGGAGCGATCTCAGCTCAGTGCATCCTTCGCCTCCCGGGTTGGAGCGATTCTCCTGCCTCAGCTTCCTGAGTAGCTGGGATTATAGGACCCGGCTAATTTTTTGTATTTTTAGTAGGAATGGGGTTTTGCCATGTTGGCCAGGCTGGTCTCGAACTCCTGACCTCAAGTGTTCTGCCTGCCTTGGCCTCCCAAAGTCCTGGGATTACAAGCATGAGCCACCGTGCCTGGCCACAGTCATGTATTTTAATCACTAAATTATTGCATGTAAAATATAATACTTAAGACAGGTCTAATCAGGTTTCTCTAATCTACTTTTAACAGAAAGAAGTAAAAACAAAACAAAACGTCCTATTGTTCCTCAATATAAACAAAGCAAGTTGTAGTTGTATAATTTCATATTGTCTGAATTATAAAATTTCTATTTGTTATTTTTCATGACACAAAATATTATATTCATTTCTTTAATCTTTATCTGGAAAGAAAAAACTTCCTTGTGTCACTAAACATTGAATTTTCTGATCTTTCAAGGTTATATACTATATTCGGGGGAGAGGGTTACTGTAGGAATCTTAAATCTGACTTGCTTTACTTTTGTTAGTTTTAATCTCTGACTTAATATTATATTAAGGTACAATATTACATTAAGGTACTGACTAAATATTACATTGAACAGGCAATATGGAATGGCCATTTTCTGATTTTTATTTTCTAGTATTAGATTAATCCTTTACTTAAAGAAAATTGGTTTTTGGTAAGTTGAGTCAGAGATCGGCTCTTGCTTTTAGTAGTTTCCTCCCTCTACCCCCTTTCATGGGGATGGGTTTTTAAAAACATGAAAAAAAATGTCTGAATTATAAAGAATGTCTAGAATTGTCTCACTCATATCTGTCGTCGAAAATTATTTCAAAGGAATAGATACAGATTTCAGGAAGTCACATAAGGACGTATATTTAAGATAGTCACATTATTGGACTAACTATAACCTATATCTTAAAAGTTTTCTTTTACTGAAAGTAAATACCAGAGCTGGTTACACCGAGCTCTGTGAAACTCTTCTCTTATTTATTGCAACGTTAACTTACATTTTTCCTTTCTTTATGAGTGACGTAATATTGAATTTTGAGTTAACTCTCAACAAATTAGAGTACAATTCAGATGTGTGTGGGTTTTCTAATATATATCAGAGATCATAGGGCTATACAGACAATACAGACATACATAGTCTATATTCTAATTTATTTTTGTTGTCTATAGCTAGACAATATAGAGTATATATAATATTGTCTGTATTCTAATGTATTTTGCCCTCTAGACTATATAGTCCATATTGTCTATCTATCTATATATTCTATTTTCTATCTATAGTCTATCATCTATATTGTCTATCTATATAGTCTGTGTTGTTTAGAGGGTGAAATACTTTAAAAGATCATCTACATACTTGTAAATCACCAAGATTACATCAGCAGTAGTAAGGGAAATGTCCTTTACTATTTAGTATAATAAAAATGATCCTCCTTAGATCACCTTTTTCTTTGACATGTGCCTGCTCATCTCTCATCTTTTTCTTTTCTTTACCCTCAGAAAAGTACAATTGAAAATAAAATGCCTCCCTGCTGTTGAAATGAGTCTCTGATCCCTACTCTAGGATGATATCCACATTCTGAATTTTATATAATCCAATTGGCCAAAAACCTTTCATGCTTATAATAGCTACCCAGTGCTTCTTCAGAAGATTAAATAATTTCAGAAAATTAAGTGTCTTGCAGGTGTCTTATCCTTTCATTGTTGTGAAAATTTATTTAGCTGTAACAAAAGTTTTGTCACCTTAAATTTCTTAGAATTTACTTAGGCAAAAGTTAACAATGGATAAGCTTATTATAAAATATCCTGGCAGAATTGCCAGATATGGCTTTTGCTTTATATATTTTAAAAGTTATTCTTTTTTTAAAAAAAAAAAGCTCTTTTGTTTGAGTTTTGGTAATTGACAAAATGATTGCATGTGAAACATAATTCTTACATAAAGTAAGCTGCTCACAACACAGACTAATTACACATTTGGGAGGCAAGGCAAAGACATCCAGAGGTTGCTCGTGCTGAGCCAAGAGCACAGCATTTAATGAAATGAGGGCCATAAAAGGTTCAGCATGGATGCTTTCAGGTCTGAGCTGGGCTTCTGGGAAATTGGATGTTGGCCCTGTGGACTGGTGGATTCCCCTGGGCTTTGAAAGGCTGGGTTATTACCACTTGCATGCGTGAATCAGGCACTGCTTTGCAGTACAAGACATTTGTGATTCCAGAGATGGCCTTATTTGGAACACTCTTAAGGTAATAGTATGGATGTCTCCCCAGTCATCCATCTTCCTTCCTCTCTTTCTTCCTCTCATGCCAAGTAATTACTTTTGATATTTGTTTTCTAAAAAATGGTTAGTATATCTAGCGAGGCCTGACCAGGTAGACTCTTCAGTTTCCTCTTTCCGATTCTTAAACCCATGTTGGCCAGGCTGGTCTCAAACTCCTGACCTCAAGTCATCTCCCCGCCTCGGCTTCTGAAAGTCCTGGGATTACAGGCATGAGCCACTGTGCCTTGCCCCATCCTGGATTCCTATATAAGTAAAAGGAAACATTTTATATATGTACCAATAAGTTTGTTTTCTACCACCCGTCCTCCTCTGTTCATCCCACAGAGATCATACTTCCTCTGGAAAATTAGCTGCCATGTAACTAGAAATATAACAATTACAGGATTCTCCAGCAGTTCATTCTGACCAACTAAGTGTTCAGTCATGAACCTGTGGATCTAACACTTTTTCATCTTAATTGTGCTGAAGTATCTCCTATTTTCTCCACTCAGAGATATCTGGCATCCCTCACAGTAAAAACTGCCACCCCTTCCTGGGACTTGGAAACATATGAACAGGCAGCAATGCAGCCTGTTGCTAAAACACCTTCTGGGCCCTGGTTGCTTTGAATTTGACTGCATTTGCCAATTGTTGATTCAGGGCAGTAGTTCTTAATTGGAAGTGATTTTGACCCCAGGTAACATTTGGCAATGTCTGAAAGCATTTTAATTGTCACAGCTTGGGGAAGGGGGTACTGCTAACGTCTGGTGGGTAGTAGCCAAGGACTTGGTCAAATATCAGGCACTGCATTGGACAGACACCCACAACAAAAAATTATCAGGCTTCAAATATCAGTTGTGCCAAGGTCAAAAAAGCCTAAGTTGAAGGTTCTGTATGACCAGCCCTGGGCAGGTGCTGGGCATTAGGCCTACACCTATGCAGGGGAGGCATTAGAGCATCCATTCTGGGCCTGGCTCTGGGAATCTCAAGGACAGAGCCTCTAGTGGCAAAGAATAACAAGTAATGAAAAGATTTAAAACTAAATGAAATTCACAAGATTTCCCTTACTACGCCAGCCAGGCTCTGTGTGTGTGTGTGTGTGTGTGTGTGTGTGTGTGTGTGTGTGCACACACGCTTGAAATCTGTGAGTGGAAAGAGCTGTTGCCTGAAAGATGGAAACCAGGAGAATCCGAGGTCTAGATGTGCCACTGCTTGGGGGTTCGTCATATCACTAAGGTCTGGCATTTAGGGCACTTGGTAGTACTTTATACCCATTTCCATTTTGCTACAAAATGCTGTCTGGCAAGATTTGAGTTTAATTTTGAGAGTTACTGGTTGAACCAGGATTCTTGGAGGGAGGCATTCAGCATATTGATTTTTTTAATGTTAGATAAAGGGACATTTATTTCTAACAGAGGAAATGGCTGTGTTAACTACTGTAATGGTTTCCTTTACCATTTGGGAAGTTTGCTATTATTAGAGGGCACTAATTATGGCTTAAGCCTGGTACAGCATAAGAAAGATATAAAACATAACTGTACTTGGGTGGAGAATGTAAATGGCATAGTGTCTTACTGTCATTGTAGAAATCTGTCCTGGAATTTCTTGAGGGTCAAATCATGGAATGGACAAAAGTTGAGACACAAGGATACAGTATAGTATGGCAGTGAAGAGTCTGACAGTTGAACTCACAGAGTAGAATGGTGGTTACAGGCACAGAGGAGGAGGAGAGTGGGGAAATGTTGGTCAAAAGACACAATCTCAGTTAGGAGGAATAAGTTCAAGAGGTGTATCCTACTACATAGTGACTATAGTTAATAACATTGTAGTTTATACTTGAAAATCTCTAGGAGAGTAGAATTTAAGTGTTCTCAACACACACACATACAAATTCGTAAGAATATAAGGTAATGCATATGTTAATTAGCTCAATTTAGCTATTCCACAATGTATACATAGTTTAAAACACCATGCTGTACTCCATAAATATATATAATTTTGTTTTGTCATGATTTCTGTTCTTTTACATTTGCTGAGGAGTGCTTTACTTCCAACTATGTGGTCAATTTTGGAATAAGTGTGATATGGTGCTGAGAAGAATGTGTATTCTGTTGATTTGGGGTGGAGAGTTCTATAGATGTCTATTAGGTCTGTTTGGTGCAGAGCTGAGTTCAACTCCTGGATATCCTTGTTAACTTTCTGTCTCATTGATCTGTCTAGTGTTGACAGCAGGGTGTTAAAGTCTCCCATTATTACTGTGTGGGGGTCTAAGTCTCTTTGTAGGTCCCTAAGGACTTGCTTTATGAATCTGGGTGCTCCTGTATTGGGTGCATATATATTTAGGATAGTTACCTCTTCTTGTGGAATTGATCCCTTTACCATTATGTAATGACCTTCTTTGTCTCTTTTGAACTTTGTTGGTTTAAAGTCTGTTTTATCAGAGACTAGGATTGCAACCCCTGCTTTTTTGTTTGTTTGTTTGTTTGTTTTCCATTTGCTTGGTAGATCTTCCTCCATCCCATTATTTTGAGCCTATTTGTGTCTCTGCATGTGAGATGGGTCTCCTGATGTGTCTTGACTCTTCATCCAATTTACCAGTCTGTCTTTTAATTGGGGCATTTAGCCAATTTACATTTAAGGTTAATATTGTTATGTGTGAATTTGATCCTGTCATTATGATGTTAGCTGGATATTTTGCCCATTAGTTGATGCAGTTTCTTCCTAGCCTGGATGGTCTTTACAATTTAGCATGTTTTTGCAGTGGCTGGTACCAGTTGTTCCTTTCCATGTTTAGTGCTTCCTTCAGGAGCTGTTGTAAGGCAGGCCCGGTAGTGACAAAATCTCTCAGCATTTGCTTCTCCGTAAAGGATTTTATTTCTCCTTCACTTATGAAGCTTAGTTTGGCAGGATATGAAATTCTGGGTTGAAAATTCTTTTCTTTAAGAATGTTGAATATTGGGCCTTACTCTCTTCTAGCCTTTACAGTTTCTGCCAAGAGATCAGCTGTTAGTCTGATGGGCTTCCCTTTGTGGGTAACCTGACCTTTCTCTGGCTGCCCTTAACATTTTTTCCTTCATTTCAACCTTGGTGAATCTGACAGTTATGTGTTTTGGAGTTGCTCTTCTCAAGGAGTATCTTTGTGGCGTTCTCTGTATTTCCTGAATTTGAATGTTGGCCTGCCTTGCTAGGTTGGGGAAGTTCTCCTGGGTAACATCCTGAAGAGTGTTTTCCAACTTGGTTCCATTCTCCCTGTCACTTTCAGGTATACCAATCAGACACAGAGTTGGTCTTTTCACATAGTCCCATATTTCTTGGAGGCTTTGTTCATTTCTTTTTACTCTTTTTTCTCTAAACTTCTCGCTTCATTTCATTCATTTGATCTTCAATCACTGATACCCTTTCTTCCACTTGATCGAATCGGCTACTGAAGCTTGTGCATGTGTCACGTAGTTCTCTTGCCATGGTTTTCAGCTCCATCGGGTCATTTAAGGTCTTCTTTATACTGTTTATTCTAGTTAGCCATTCGTCTAATCTTTTTTCAAGGTTTTTAGCTTCCTCGCAATGGGTTCGAATATCCTCCTTTAGCTCGGAGAAGTTTGTTATTACCGATCTCCTGAAGCCTACTTCTGTCAACTTGTCAGAGTCATTCTTTGTCCAGCTTTGTTCTCTTGCTGGTGAGGAGCTGCGATCCTTTGGAGGAGAAGAGGTGCTCTGGTTTTTAGAATTTTCAGCTTTTCTGCTCTGTTTTTTCCCCATCTTTGTGGTTTTATCTACCTTTGGTCTTTGATGATGGTGACCTACAGATGGGGTTTTGGTGTGGATGTCCTTTTTGTTGATGTTGCTCCTATTCCGTTCTGTTTGTTGGTTTTCCTTCTAACACTCAGGACGCTCAGCTGCAGGTCTGTTAGAGTTTGCTGGTGGTCCACTCCAGACCCTGTTTGCCTGGGTATCACCAGCAGAGGCTGCAGATCAGCAAATATTGCAGAACAGCAAACGTTGCTGCCTGATCCTTCCTCTGGAAGCTTCATCTCAGAGGGGCACCCGGCTGTATGAGGTGTCAGTCAGCCCCTACTGGGAGGTGTCTCCCAGTTAGGCTACTTGGGGGTCAGGGACCCACTTGAAGAGGCAGTCTGTCTGTTCTCAGATCTCAAACTCCATGCTGAGAGAACCACTGCTCTCTTCATAGCTCAATTGGAAAGGCAGAAATCACCCGTCTTCTGTGTCACTCATGCTGGGAGCTGTAGACTGGAGCTGTTCCTATGTGACCATCTTGGAACAAAATGGAAGAACATTCCATGCTCATGGATAGGAAGAATCAATATCATGAAAATGGCCATACTGCCCAAGGTAATTTATAGATTCAATGCCATCCCCATCAAGCTACAAATGACTTTCTTCACAGAATTGGAAAAAACTACTTTAAAGTTCATATGGAACCAAAAAAGAGCCCACATTGCCAAGACAATCCTAACCAAAAAGAACAAAGCTAGAGGCATCACGCTACCTGACTTCAAACTTTACTACAAGGCTACAGTAACCAAAACAGCATGGTACTGGTACCAAAACAGAGATATACACCAATGGAACAGAACAGAGCCCTCAGAAATAATACCATACATCCGTAACCATCTGATCTTCAACAAACCTGACAAAAACAAGAAATGGGGAAAGGATTCCCTATTTAATAAATGGTGCTGGGAAAACTGGCTAGCCATATGTAGAAAGCTGAAACTGGATCCCTTCCTTACATCTTGTACAAAAATTAATTCAAGATGGATTAAAGACTTAAATGTTAGACCTAAAAGCATAAAAACCCTAGAAGAAAACCTACGCAATATCATTCAGGACATAGGCATGGGCAAGGACTTCATGAATAAAACACCAAAAGCAATGGCAACAAAAGCCAAAATAGACAAATGAGATCTAATTAAACTAAAGAGCTTCTGCACAGCAAAAGAAACTACCATCAGAGTGAACAGGCAACCTACAGAATGGGAGAAAATTTTTGCAATCTACCCATCTGACAAAGGGCTAATATCCAGAATCTACAAAGAACTTAAACTAATTTACAAGAAAAAAACAAGCAACCCCATCCAAAAGTGGGTGAAGGATATGAAAAAACACTTCTCAAAAGAAGACATTTATGTAGCCAACAGACACATGAAAACATGCTCATCATCACTGGCCATCAGAGAAATGCAAATCAAAACCACCATGAGACACCATCTCACACCAATTAGAATGACAATCATTAAAAAGTCAGGAAACAACAGGTGCTGGAGAGGATGTGGAGAAATAGGGACACTTTTACACTGTTGTGGGACTGTAAACTAGTTCAAACATTGTGGAAGACAGTGTGGCGATTCCTCAAGGATCTAGAACTAGAAATACTATTTGACCCATCAATCCCATTACTGGGTATATACCCAAAGGATTATAAATCATGCTACTATAAAGACACATGCACACATATGTTTATTGCGGCACTATTCACAATAGCAAAGACTTGGAACCAACCCAAATGTCCATCAATGACAGACTGGATTAAGAAAACATGGCACATATACACTATGGAATACTATGCATCCATAAAAAAGGATGAGTTCATGTCCTTTGTAGGAACATGGATGAAGCTGGAAACCATCATTCTGAGCAAACTATCGCAAGGACAGAAAACCACACACCGCATGTTCTCACTCATAGGTGGGAATTGAACAATGAGAACAGTTGGACACAGGGTGGGGAACTTCACACCCAGGCCTGTTGTGGGGTGGGGGCCTGGGGGAGGGATAGCATTAGGAGAAATACCTAATGTAAATGACAAATTAATGGGTGCAGCACACCAACATGGCACATGTATACATATGTAACAAACCTGCACATTGTGCACATGTACTCTAGAACTTAAAGTATAATAATAATAAATTTCATTTCAAAAAAAAAAACAAATTTAGGTTATTCTTATTTCAGAATATGAGCTCACTCACCCACACAGATGCTAGTTCTTGAATTTTGTTTGTACTAAATGAAAAACAACTTATTGGTTGGTTGACACATTTACCCCACTGGGGCCTGAATTCAGCCCCTTTTAGGAGGGACAGTTTCAGAATATGCCATGAGGTGTCTGCGGTGTAGATCCATGCTCTCTGCAAATAGGGGCAGCGGCTCTATAGCTGAGTCCTTTCCCAGACTCCTTTAAGAAATTTCAACAGGCTTTCACAGAGCTATGCCTGCTCCAAAATATACATTGACATAATAAACCACAATGGATTTAAGTGTTTAAAGTCAGAAATACACTTTTAAAAATAAGTACTTCAGTTGGCCAGTGGAGCAGTAATACCTGGATGCTAAATTGAATTTGTTTAGAATAAACCACAGAGTAAACTTTAAAAAAAATGAAAATAAAAAAATTTTGATTTGTCAATTAAAATATACATTTATAAAGAAAAAATAATAAAACACTTTCCACATCATAGTTTATCTATAGAAAATGTGTCACCTTCCACAATGGTTGAACTAGTTTACAGTCCGACAAATATTGTAAAAGTGTTCCTATTTCTCCACATCCTCTCCAGCACCTGTTGTTTCCTGACTTTTTAATGATTGCCATTCTAACTGGTGTGAGATGGTATCTCATTGTGGTTTTGATTTGCATTTCTCTGATGGCCAGTGATGGTGAGCATTTTTTCATGTGTTTTTTGGCTGCATAAGTGTCTTCCTTTGAGAAGTGTCTGTTCATGTCCTTCGCCCACTTTTTGATGGGGTTGTTTGTTTTTTTCTTGGGTAATGTACCCAAAGGACTATAAATCATGCTGCTATAAAGACACATGCACACGTATGTTTATTGCGGCACTATTCACAATAGCAAAGACTTGGAACCAACCCAAATGTCCAACAGTGATAGACTGGATTAAGAAAATGTGGCACATATACACCATGGAATACTATGCAGCCATAAAAAATGATGAGTTAATGTCCTTTGTAGGGACATGGATGAAATTGGAAATCATCATTCTCAGTAAACTATCGCAAGGACAAAAAACCAAACACCACATGTTCTCACTCATAGGTGGGAATTGAACAATGAGAACACATGGACACAGGAAGGGGAACATCACACTCTGGGGACTGTTGTGGGGTGGGCGGGGGGGGGAGGAATAGCATTAGGAGATATACCTAATGCTAAATGACGAGTTAATGGGTGCAGCACACCAGCATGGCACATGTATACATATGTAACTAACCTGCACATTGTGCACATGTACCCTAAAACTTAAAGTATAATAATAATAAAATTTAAAAAAAAAGAAAATGTGTCACCTTAAAATTGTATACTTTTGTTGAAAATGGATATTGAATAATGTCAAACATGAAAATGCAGCAGACCACTCAGAAGTATTCACTAGAGGAAAAGATAAAAAAAAAAAGAGAGTCTGACATAGGAACCACACTGTGCTTGAGCCCCACAAAGCTTCCACATTCCAAGTCTTCTGGGCTGTAAACATGGCGTTTATTTGCTGTGCACCTCAGTTTCCTCATCTGTGGAATGGACATGACAATAAACCTCACAGGTTTGTTGTGAAGCATAAGTGTATTAATATGTGTAAAGTACTCAGAAATGAAGTAGTCAATCATTGTTAGCCTCTAGTATATTGTTTCTGTTGTATTCTTGAATCTCAGATGTCAGAGACTTAAAAAAAATTTTCAAAAGAAAAGATAATGATAATGCAACCTGATTTCTATTTTGCTTCTACCACTTAAATAATAAATGATAAGTGTTAGTGCAAAGAGTGGTTGTCAGTCTTGCTAAGAATTAAATATAATTGCCAAAAGAGGAATGATTTAATCATAAAATGAAGTGATTTGAAGGTATTACTAAAGCAAAATTAGTTCTTGTCTCTTTGTCTCTGATAGACAAAAGCCAGAGAACCTTTCTAGTTTTTCTCTTGAAATGGTGTTCACAAACTTACAGTAGGATGGTTTTTCTTTAATTTGCACTTTAATTCAGTGGAACTTTATTAGACTGAAATTAAGCAAATCCCAGAGAGGCCTGGAAACATAAATGGTTTTGAAATGTTATGGATTCTAAATTGGGCATTTTGAAAGACAAAGGTGAAGGCTAATAGTTTACATTTAGTACGAAACTCTGGCATTCCAATGGAAATTGGAATCAAATAATGGGATTTGTTTTTTAGGTAATAATATAATGAGTTAGCTGAAAGAGCTAACTTGTAATAGATTTATTAAGCCATAAAGTTTCATTTCTTTGAACAACATATTGTCAAAATCTTCACAGACAACTTCACTTATAAGAAAATTAAATGAAAGAACTATTTCTTTAAAAGTTAGCTGTGGATTTTCTCTATTTGGGGAGGGGTTGAAAATGCCGCGTCAATGGATCTGGCTGTGATCCGACCTCTTAATCCTGTTTTAATTATGGGTTCTTTGCTACTTCTGATTTTATAGTTATATGTGACTGACATTCAGACATTCATAGTAATTTTTTAAATATGTAATTTTACATAAGAGTCCCTTCAATGTGACCTTAAGATGGGAGTCTCTAGATATAATTATAGAGAGGAAGGAACCGACCTAGAATGAGTTGATCATTTCCAGGAGTATCTCATTGTCAGATTTTTCAGTTGAACACTGTGGCAGTTTCACATTTCTACAAGCTTGAGAGGAATGCAGAAGGGAGACCCACAAAGATGCTCATGTGGACAGCACTTGTCTGTTCCCACTGCTGTATATTTGAAAACACTGGGGACCAAATATGATTAACCACATACTTCTCCCTGGAGACCTGAACCCTAAATATGCCTTTTTCCACCATACTCTGTGTTTCTTGAGACCAGTATGCTTGCGGCTAGGTGTCATTTATCAAATATGACATGAATGTTTGTTGTGCATAATCATTTTTGTTTAGGTTTAAAAATTTAATGGCAGTGAGTTATACTACCTGAAGATGCAGGCTGAAAGCATGAGTTTTGACAAAGTGAAATTTCATTTGATGATATCCATTATAAATCGTTTTTCTCTAACTTTAAAGTAACATCTCATTTTTACTGTGTCTTATTAACAAACTTTACCAATAGTGTTGTTTCCATAGTAAATGATATGTTTTAAATTATATATGCCCCATATTTTCCTGAAATTTTAAGACGTTTCTACACTAAACTCTGTTCCTTCATCTGTAAAGTGAAGATGTTAAGACTCCATTATCTCTAAGATCTCTTCTGATACCCAGGGCACCCTAAGTCTAATGTCCAGCCTTTTTTATTATGGAGAATATCTTAGTAAATTTCCAAAGGCTTGCGAGGTGTTTCAGATTGCATCGCTCTGACTTGCCAAACGATCCTCTCTATTGACCATTACCGAATAGTATTCCCTGAAACCTCTTCCCCTGCTCCATGGATGTGACTGTGGCTCCTTGTGGAGAGCTAAACCCAGCCTTTGCCTGCCAGGAGCCGATTACAGCTGTGAGAGGTCCAGTCATCCTGTCCTACTGATTGCATCTGTGTCTGGTCATCTGAGAGAGTGAAATATTAATCTGCTTTCTTCTCTTCACTCTTTTCATGTGTATTCCCCTAACAGAAAGGAGAACCTGACTGCTGTGCACTCTCTCTGGAGACAAGCGAGCAGCTCACCTTTGAGATCCCCCTGAATGATTCAGGTTCTGCTGGCCTCGGGGTGAGCTTAAAAGGGAACAAATCCAGAGAAACTGGAACAGACTTGGGGATTTTTATCAAATCCATCATTCATGGAGGCGCTGCTTTTAAGGTGGGTAGGAATGACATTTGTACATCCTTTGAGAAGGCACTTGGAGATGTGACTGTTGTACTTAGAGACTGAATGGAGAAAGTGTCTGAAGACTTGAGGCCACTGAGACTTTCCCGCCAGATACAAAAAATATATGTGTGAACAGATCTGGGAAATAACTGGCTGCTGTTTTTGTACCTTAACTGGTTATTTTTACTTCTTAGAGTTACCTCTAAAAACCCAACATGATTCACATTCTTTTTTGCATACTTTTTATTACTGCAATAGGATTCCTCTGGATTTGTAAACTGACAAGAGTTGAGCCTAAAAGTACACGATCAGAAAAACAAAACTAAAAACAAGTAAACATAAAGGCAGCAAATAAGACAGTTGTGCTTGCAAGAATGAAAGCTCAGTGGAGCCTGAGAGTGATTGTAGTATAAATTAAAGGCCATTTATCACATTTTATACACTTGAAGAAAACCATGGTGCCCAGAATGCATATTTCCTTTTGTATACTTAGAGAAGCTTAGTTTTCTAGGTTTCCAGAAAAAGAAGGAAGATCATGCTTCAGTCCTTTCACGTTGAGGTGAGTATAGTGTACTGGTTAGCTAGATGGCCGGTGTTCAAGTCCAGCTCAGTCCTTGCTAGCTGTATGGAAATGTAGGCAAGGGTCTTGACCAGCTGTCTCCCATTTCCTCACCGGTAGAATGGTGATAATAAATAATAACTACTTCATAGGTTTCCAGGATTAAATCACACAATGTGATGAAAACAATAAAGTGATGATAGAGGAAGGATACACGTTTGCACCTCTTGCCACCCTCATTATTATCTCACACCGTGCAAGGAGACTTCTTGAGTTTGAATTCTGCCTTACCTACTCTCTCCCTGTGCATGTAGGTAAGCTGCTCAGCCTTGACATGCCTCAGTTTCCTCATTTGTGAAATTAGCAGTGCCTGGTTCCTCATGCTGCTGTTAAGACTAAAAGAGACAATATGTGTCAAGTGCTTAGCACAGTGCCTGTCACCAGCTGCTGATAAATGTTAGCCATCTGAAAATAATCGTGATATGAATAATGTCTATCCTCTCCCACAGCAAAGCCAAGAAGGCCCCGTTACACTCAACAGAGCACCCCTGCACCTAGAATTCTGGCTTTGTTGAAGCAACTGTCGTCTCACACTTACCCTTCCACTTTTGTTTCAGACTAGATGTGGAGATAATGCCTTTTTCACTGGGAAATAAATGTACTTTGGACAGACACCTCTTCAGTTTACTCCTTGGTTTAGTTAGCTTTTGTCGCATAATAAATAGTCATAATTTTTCAGTAATATACACATCAATAAGCCTTTATTTTTCTCATAGCTCTGTGTGGGGGAGCTGGGGTTTGGGTAGGATTCTGATTCAGGCTGGTGTCTCTTGATCCCACTGTAACTCTGCAGATCTGAGTGTGCTGCACTTCTTTCTCCTGCTCCTTGGATCAGCAGGCTAGCTGGCGCATGTCCCTCTCATGCCTCGAGCTGTCAGAGGGCCAGCGGCAGTGGGTGAATCCGCGGGCTCCAAGCTAGCACACTGTCACCCCACACATAGGCCACTGGTCAAAGCAAGTCATATGGCTGAGTCCAAGGTTGAGCAGTAGAAAACACACTCCAGCCACGATGAAGTTATGGCAAAGATGTAGATACAGAGAAGGGTAAAGAATTGAGTCCCATCACTCCATCTATAAAACTGGCTCAGAAATACATAAGCAGGAGCAAAAGCGAAATAGTAGTAATAGCAACAACAACAATAGCAATGAACATTTATTGTGCTTAGTATATGCTGGACACTAGGATAGGTGTTTTATATGGGTTATCTAACTTTATTCACATTTACATTGGATTATTTTCAGTCCATTTTATCAAAGTGGAAATTACAGATTAGACCCTTTAGTGCCTTTCCTGTGGTCAGATAGCCAGGAATTACTTTAAGATTTGAATCCAGGCAGTCTGACTCCAGAACCTGCGTTATGCTGCACTGAAATGAAGCTCTTCCATATGATCCATTCATGTTCCTAGAGAGCAGGGCCTGTTCGCCTGGAGGTGTCTTGTATGGTGCTATCATCCTTAGCCAAGCCATCTAGGTTTGAGGATGAGTTCTTGGTCATGTTTGTGGATACCAGCTTGAAATTAGTCTTCTTATTCCTAATGACAGCTCTATTTGTAGAATTTACTCCAAGTAAAATTGAAACTGAGATGACTTTTCGGAAATTAAAAGCAAACATCTTAGCTTTTTTATGGGCAATAACTTAAGCTCAAGCAGATATTGGCGAGCAGGTTTAATATGTATATCCATGTTTGTGTAAGTGAGCATCTCCTTACCTAAGCAGTTTCTAACAGTCCTGTTTCTTGCAGAAAGATTTCACTTTCCATTTATGTAAATTTCTTTCCTGACACTGGTCTGCTGAGTCAGACAATCACACCATTAAAAACCACTGGACAGCATATTTATAGCTGATCTTAAACAGTAAGAGGCATCAGTCATGAACTTAGCCTTCTTGTGAATGTTTAGTATCCATTTGTCTTGTTTACCTTTTGCAGTGTAAAGGGTAGAGGCCTGAGATTTGTTCACAAAAAATCTGATTAACCAGGGGAAAAAAAAGTATTTTTCCATTCTCCTACTGTTGTTCCAGTAATCCACTGTTACGCCTCGGAAAATTGCCACCCATTCTATGATTCAGGATTCTGTCTTAGGAAAATTGTTTTGAGACTTTGTTCCTGTCCCTGTTGAGAGGATACACATGTAACAGACTACAGTGTCTCTGGGGCAGAGGAGAGATCAGCACTGGGAACATCTTTGTCTCAGCATTTGGCCCTAGGTTTTTACCCGGAATCAACAAAATAATCTTTCAACCAGAGCACAATCTTTTTCTCCTCGCCCTTCATACCACTAATTAGTTCTCAAGGTGTTTTTCCCTTTAGGGAAGGTGGATTTTTTGAAAACTAAACTACTTTGAAAGATATGACCAAATTCTTCCTGTGCATTCTGTGTGCTGGATTCTCCTGGGGGCTTCCATTGGTCTAAACAAAGATAGGCTACTTCTTGCCAGATGTAAAACCCCTGAATACCTCGACTCTAATTGAGGGCATTGCTTTGTTTTGTTTTGTTTTATTTTGTTTTCCTTAATTCTCAGTCTACTGCTTTCTGTCATGTCATCTCTTGTTTGAATTATTTCTAATAGAGGATGTAAATCTCTATTTGGAAACAAGAGCAGCCAGCTACTCTAGGACGCCCTCTTGGAAGTGAGTCCCTGACTCATTCTAAAAACCAACAGAACAATAATTCTACCCTGCTCAGAATTATCCAAATGCTTAATCTCAACTTGATATTTAACTTCAAGTCTGTACATTAAGAAATAAAGCCCAGAAACTCTTCTGTGCATGCATCAGGCTGCACCACTTTTGATTACAGGCTGTTTTGTCATACGGAGCTCTTCATAGGCCCCTCTGAAGCATAACTTGTAGCTATGCCTCTTAGTGTACTATATGGCCATTGACCATAACAGCGGAATATTGCTTCTTAGAGTATTGATGCCAATGTGCCTAAGCACTAGCATGCATTACATGTTTGTGGTTTCATTTAGTTACTGTCTTTCTTCCTGGGCGTTTGCCCCTGACATACAGTGTAGTTGCTTCTAGAACTAAAATATACTAAATACAAGCATATATGTCAACTGCTTCTGAAAGAATTATGAGCAGAATGAAGTTACGACATCCATGAGAATGATTTTCTAAAATGTTGCTTTTGTGGTTGGAATTTATGTGGTAGTGCTGTTGCTGTTCAATAAAAAGAAGTATCAGCTCTGTTGCAGTTAGAAAAAATACCTTTCCCTAAATCCACATCAAAATGTCCCTAAATCCACATCAAAATTTGCGTTTTATTTTGTCCAGGAAAGCACAAATGAAGTCTAAATGATCCGTCTGAAGATGTTAGATATTTTTATGTTCATTTGCTAAACATTTTAAATTCATTTTGAGATCAGTGGTTTTTCTTTGCTTTGCTTTTCATGTACCATATTAACTGAAAATTTTTAGTAAAAATTTTTACATCTATGGACTACACTTCCTTAAGTTGCTTGTTTTGCTACCCTAAAGAATTACTTTAAAAATGTATACATAACTAGAATAGTGCTTTCTTTAAAGTTAGGTAAGATATTGTAAGAACACACTGTAGTGAGAATAAAAGTCCCATGAAGTCTGTTGTACCAGTTCTGAATGGTGTTTTTGACTTCACTATGCTGACTTTGGGAGTGGTATGTCTCCTACTGAAACTTTGACCTAGTAAGGTAAGAATTCAAATTTACAGGAATTTTTGCTAAAGGAAGAATGTCGTATATCAGGTAGATTGTTTAGGGGCTGCTAAATAGAGAGAATACATTTAAGACTATCAGTTATTCTCTAGAGAATTAATTAGCCAGGTTTGTGCTTAATAAATTCTCTTGATGATGAAGAAATTAAGTGAAAGAAAAATGCCTGACATGGCTAATTGTAAATGTATGCACTCAGAATATGAAATAGACATAATTGAAGTAATTTGATTCTTGTGTGCTTAGGAAATTTGGGATTCTCCTTCTGAAGGATGCAGGATTTCATAATCTGCACTGTTTAGTAATGGGCAAAAGAAAGAATTTGGACCAATACAAGCAATCATGATATTTTTAAATGACTAAACTCTAAATTTTTGGAGAGAAAATGCACATCTCTAGAATATCCAGAAACATGGCGCTTGATCCTGAATCTCCATGTCTCATTGTCATGTGAGACATTTAACAGCATCCAAACTACTTAACTCCAGTAGGAGCTCCCAGCGTGACTAATTTCCACCCCCATCTCTGCCGGTATCTATAAATCATGTGATAGATCTATAATTAATGAATTCAAAGGAAGATAAAAGGGACAGCTTTTTAAGGAAAACTAATGTTAAATGATTTCTTCAACTGGCCATTTTTCTTAAAATTTATAATGTTTTCTACTGGTGGGAGAACCTTGAGGATCCTTACTGGTAGTCAGTGACTTCTAAGCTGTTACCTCTGGCAAAAGGACCAGATAATGTGAGAATGTCAAAATGCTATTGAAACTCCTCAAATGTAAGAAGCCAAACACTAACATTTTATTTCTAACCACAAAGATGTGATACATTTTAAGGACTTTAAAAGCAGGAACTTTGCCTGGAAATATACATAAATTCATAATCACTATATATCCAATAAGAATTTGACCTTAAAAAAGGAAGTTATTAATTTAAGCCTAGGAAAAATACATTTTAGCTAATTTTCCGTTTTAAAAAAATCTGAAAATGTTAGCATATGTTAATTCACATAGTCAGGCTTATTTATGAATTTTCTACCATAGGAACTATTAAAATGTAATATAACATTACTTTTAAAATCTCAAAGTAGCTGGCACAGTAATGGGCACCTGTATTTTCAACTAAGCAGGAGGATCACTTGAGCTCAGGAGTTCCAGACTGTAATGCAGTATAATCGTGCCTGTGAATAGTCACTGTGCTCTAGGCCTGGGCAACACAGCGAGACCCCATCTCTTTTTTTAAAAAATCCCATAATTCCAGCATCTATCATTGTTTTTTCTTGCTGATCTTTATCACTTTTGCATTTTTATTTCATGAATGGAAATGCAAACAGGAAATAAATTTACATGTACACTATACTGAATAAAATTTTGGAATGCTACAACATTTTGATGTGTATTTTGGACTCCGTGATTGTCTCAGTGGGCTTGAAAAAATTTAAGGGTTGATATTCCTAATGAAAAAGGAAATTATAATCTACAAAAGTTGATATAGCATGGTAATGATGCTTTGGCTCTGAAAATAGTAACTTTCCCCTGAAAAGCTATATTCGTCTTCATTATGGGTACCTATAGGCCATATATATGTATACACACACACACACACACACACACACGTAAGACCAGTCACTAGGAAAATGGACACAAACCAGAATGCTCAAATAAAACTCTGACCACAGTATGAACTCTGCATACATATACACACGTTTTTGTTCTAGCATTCTGGTTGTACCCATTTTTATAGTGACTGGTTTTAAGCAATCTCAGTATAAGCAAGTGCCAAGTGCATAAAAACCACCACCAAGAAGTAAATCAATAAGATAAGTATGTTGAAATGGCTTCCGAAATTCTAACCTAGTTAGGCATTCATGCAAATTATTCTTAATTCATATATAACATATATGCTTTAACAAGCTTCTTTTTAATCTGGTTTTCTAGGCCAAAGTAAATTAAGAGCAGAAAATCAGGAAGGAGATAGGAAAGGATGGAGAAGAAACTGGAATGACAGGAAAGAAAAAAGTGTAAAACAAGCACAGAATGTTATTATTGTATGGTACACCAGAGAATATTTCTGATGGTTTGAAGTCAGTATTTCTCAAACTTTCTTGCAGAAGAAATTATAAGATTCAATGTGGCCATAGTAAAGGCCATAAGTTGCAGTATATCTGTTTATGCCCCATATTTTTCCAGAATGATTTTAAAATGAAAAGATTTATAATACATTTTGAAAGCATTATTTCAGAATGGTTTATGCATATGTTAACTCCTATAGTCAGGCTTATTACAATAAGCCTGACCAACATGGTGAAACCCCATCTCTGCTAAAAATACAAAAACTAGCCAGGCATGATGGTACGCACCTGTAATCCCAGCTACTTGGGAGGCTGAGGCAGGAGAATTGCTTGAACCAGGGAGGCGGAGGTTGCAATGAGCCGAGATCATACCACTGCACTCCAGCCGGAGCAACAAGAGGGAGAGACTCTGTCTCAAAAATAAATAAATAAATAAATAAATAAATAAATAAATAAATAAATAAATAAAAGCTTCATATGCCCACAGGTGATTTGCTGCTGGGACTTCATTGGTTTGTTACATAGAAATGGAGTGAGGTTCTTAAGACAATAACTGAATTACATAAATTTAAATTTTACAATTTCTGAACAAGTAGAGATAGGGGCAGTATACAGAACGTAATCAAACTTTTTTTTTCTTTTTTGGAATTCTGAAGGTTCTCTGAATATGCCCTGGCATATTCAAGACAGCTTAGGTTCGTGACTCTCTCATAGTTACAATTTGTAGATGAAACTTAACACCAGGACCAAAACACCTGACTGACTTAATTTAGCAAGCACTTCTTGAACATTTAGAGTGAGTTAGACAACAGTGTATAGTGGACTAGACACCGCATACTTAAAATTACCCATTCTATAATCTAGGAAGGTAGTAACACAATACATTAAATATATAAAAAACACTAATATGATAAGAGCTATGATAGGCAAATGTGAGAAGTATCGTGGGTGTTGAGATGATGAAGCATTTAATTCTGTCTGGGGAGAAAACTATGAAAGGAAGGCAATTGCAAGGCTTGCTTGGGGTGAGGAGTAAGTAGACTTTGAAGAGGTGAGCAGGAATGCAAAGGGCATTTTGGGTAGAAGAAAGAATATGGGCAAAGTCACCAAGGTATGTACACCAAAGTACAGTCTGTTGTGCCTGGAAAATAGAGGTCTTATTTGGGAAGAATGGACCTCTTCACATAAGCTGAAATGATGTGAAACATGTAGTAGCTTTTTTGTTTTAACAACTGTACTTTAAAAATCTTGATTCATTCTTGCCCTTCCATTGCAATTGTTTTTAAATGAAGGTAAATGATTTCAATCTGGAATACAAGGTTCTTTTCTTAGTTTAGGGTTTTGGGTTTTTTGGGGGGTTTGATTTGTTTTTTCAAAAAATGCAGTAGACAGATGTTGTCATAGAGTGATTGTAGGGCCATGAGAAGGATTCGTTGAAGATAATTCTCTCCCTGAATCAGGTGCCATCTTGCCTGGGGTCCAGCCCTATTCCAGGGAACATCTGCTCTGCAACCTGAAGTCAAGCTTTGGGGTTTGGGACCTGGGAGTTGATAATATCCCAGGAGGCCGTACCAAGGGCCCCGTTAGAAGCATGCAGAGGCAGAAGCCAACATCTGGTCATGATTAATCCTCTCAACACCCTGGACTAATGTGGACTGGCCTTGGGCCACAGCCAGCTACCCCTGGGAAAGCCAGCCCACTTTCTCATGCTTCTCTCATATTCTTCAGTGGCTAGTTCAGTTCTTTGCCTTGGCTTTCTTACTTTTCCTCTGTATTCATTAGAATTTTAGAGGTAACAGGGCAGTTGAGGGGAGGGTTTAACAAAAAATTTGCCAAGCCAGGTGGATTAAGCCACACAACATTGCCAGTAATCATGGCAGAGGAAGTACCCAGGCACCAGTGAATATACCACAGGGGATGAACTACAAGGTCATTGCACCCCCCAGCAATCATAAATAAGCTTTAGAGGACACATGGAGTAGCCTACAGCATACATAACGACCCCTCACTCCAAAGAATTATCTGGCCCAAATGTACAATTGTGGAAAGACCCTGGTGTAAATATTTTTTTTTTCAAAAATGAGTATCTGTAGCTTTTATTAGATTCTCAAAGGAGTCTAAGAACCCATAAAGGCTAAAAATCACTAGCAGATTGTTTGAAAACATGGGCTGCAGAGTGACCCAGACCTAGTTCACATCTGCTTTTAGAAACATGACTTGTAACAATTCATTTAACCTCTCTGACTGCAATTTCTTCTTTTATAAAATGGGGGCAGCAATCTCAAATATACAGGGTTTCTATAAGGAGTAAATTGTCTGCTACATGTAAAGGGTTTAGCATGATGCACAGAGTAGAAACTCTTTGTCATTAATATAGTGCCTTTAATAATCTCTAAAAGTCTGAATGTAGAAGCAACGTAGCATAAAGGATTCATGTCATTAACCTGAGAGATGAGGAGACCTGGCTATGACCATACCCTTTGACAAGTCACTTAATTTCTCTGAGCCTTCATCTTTACATCTCCTAAATAGCAGAGAGTAGCATTTATATCACAGGGTTGCTGTAAGAAATGAATGGGCAAATATATGCAAAAGACATGCTCAAGGACTAGCCTACATTAGGTGTTCAGTAAAAGGGAGATGTCATACTCAAAGGTCTTGTCTCCTGGTCCTCTGTGCGTCCTACTGTGATAGGACCAGCTAAAGCTGATGAGATTGAAACCATGCCAGGACATGGAGAAGACCTAACCTCATACCAGGTTTTTTCGTTCTAAAGTGCACTGAAGAAGTTACATTTTGTCTTTACTCTGTCCTCCTGATTCTTTTTAATATGTTTTCCTTCCCTTTGGGAATTTCCTTTACTCCTTTCTAGCTTGAGGATGGAGTTGGTTATGGGGGGATGCCAGAAGCGGGGAACATAATTGAAGTATTTTTGCTTAGGAGTCTGATGGGAGTAATAGAGGAAGAAAAAGGGGTGAGAAAGGGAGAGAGAGAGAGAGAGAGAGAGAGAGAGAGAGTGTGTGTGTGTGAATATTGCAAGCATAACCCAGGTGAAATAAATATCCTAGAATTACCAAGCAACATCCTTGAATATTTGAATTCATTTATGTAAAGTCAATTGAAAGTTAATATTCTCATGCCTAAATATTTACTAGAATTTAATATTAATTTTAAAAACCATAAAAAGCTGATTGTCTTTGTCCAAATTATTCCAAAGCAAATGGGACATACACAATTTTGAGAGAGATTTGATGAGTTTTTGAATAATGAGCTCCTCATTGAATCAACTTCATTTTAGGTCAAGACTGGACATAGACGTGCATGTATGGATGTCTAGCTAAGTAGGTAGACAGCCTTTTTTTTTTTTTTTTCCCTCCTCTGGGTTGCTCTGCCATGCCCCTGCACAGTTTCCTGTCTCCATATCTTCTGTTGTGTGTCTTGATTTTATATTGTCTTCCCTTCCAGGAGATATCTGGTAGCATATTGTCCTCTCTGGTTCTGAAAGTCTTTTTTTTCTTGAAGCATTACCCCTTTAGGGGCTTGTCATTGTCATCTATGTAGAATATAGAATGGTTTGGTGAATAGGGACGCTGTGGAATTCAGAACTTGGGCTGTTCTGTTCCAATTCTGACCTTAACTAGCTGAACAAGTCTAATATCTGTGGAAGTGCCTTTTCCTAATAGGTGTTCGATAAATGGTTTCTCATCCTCTTTGGGCATCCCATTATTCATCTGTAAACGGAAGAGGTTGGATGAGATGACCTCTAAGGACCCTTCCAGCTCTAAATTCAGTGATTATATTCTAAATGTTAGGACAACATGGTGCTTACTGGCATCGCCATTAATGAAATTACACATCATTTATCTTATAAAGAAAAAGCACACACCAATAACAACAGACCAGCCAAGCCTGACAGTGAGAGTGTGTGGATTTTTATTGCACCCACAACTCTCTGGTGATGCTTGTGATGAATGTGAATGTCTTTGAAAAAAAATTTCAGCTGCCCTGAGGTGACCTGAACTGTCTTTTTGTTTGGGACTTGGTTACAGGAAACATGCCCTACTTCAGTGTCATTCTGCATGCTTGAGATTTAGAATGTAACTGAAAATAAAAAAATAAAAAATAAAAAGTTTGTGCTTAGTAACTGTTGATAGATTTTACCAAAAGTTCTCCTATCTTCTTGTCTGTTATCTACCTCTTCACTCTGACGTTGTCTCATACTTCACAGAAAAGGTTCACAAGAGATTACCAGGTGGGATCTCACTCATATTTCCTTCCCTCCATCTCTAGAGGTTCCCATAAAGCTTCCATCTTTATCTTGTTTCTTCCTGTCGTAGCAGATGAGGTGTCCTGCCAAGACAAAGCACTGCAAAATCTCAACATTTCCTGTTAACCTCATTTCCTGTTAACAGGACTAGGACCAGGAACTGGATTCAACTCTTCTGCTTCCTCCTCCTCTTTAAAAACCACACATCAGTCTCCAGTCATCCTAAAACGATTTTTAGTAACAAGATTCAGCCCAATGGTTCTCCTTTCTTATATGACAATAGAGCAGAAATATTTCTCCAGTTATATCTCACATCACATAACGAAACCATTCAGGGTGTTTTTGTTGTTCCCCCCACCCTTTTTTTTTTTTTTTGGAGATGGAGTTTCGCTATTGTTGCCCAGGTTGGAGTGCAGTGGCGCCATCTTGCCTCACTGCAACCTCCGCCTCCTCGGTTCAAGCGATTCTCCTGCCTCAGCCTCCCGAGTAGCTGGGATTACAGGCATGCACCACCGCGCCCAGCTAATTTTGTATTTTAAGTAGAGACGGGGTTTCTCCATGTTGGTCAGACTGGTCTCGAACTCCTGACCTCAGGGGATCCGCCCACCTCGGCCTCCCAGAGTGCTGGGGTTACAGGTGTGAGCCACCGTGCCCAGCCCGTCATATCCCATTTCATGTAGCCTTATGCTTTTTTGTGCCTCACTCAAAATTGGATAACAGAAATGAAGAGATTTCTTTCTTGTTTGGCCTTTCCTGTAAATCTCATTTCCAGACTTGCTTCAAATTAGGGTAAAGGTTAAGTGAAATGGGAAAACAAGAGGAAGGCAGGGGACATTAAGCTCTGAGGAGGCGGTCCACTTAAACGGTTTACATCTCTGACTTGACGCCTTTGTCTATTGATCCCATTACCCTGCCATCTCCATTTCTTCCCCGAGTGGGTGTGTCCTCCTATGGGCGGCCCCTGCAATCCCACGTGGCTAACACCCTCTCCAGCAGGCGGCGTGGGCAGTGTGTCTTCACCAGGGCATTGGCTCTGGGGAACAGCAGCTCTCACCATGCCCTCCCTTTTCTCCACTATCAGCAGAGGGACTTCCTCGGGCCATCTGCTACTGCATTAGTCCGAGTTTAACGACCCGTCTGCACAGTTTCCCTCCCAAAGCTGTCTGGTTGGTTTCTATTGTTCATTGTGTGTGTCTGGCTATCTCATTTCTTTTTTTTTTCTTTTACTTTTTTTTTCTTTTACATTTCATTCTGTTAATTTGACCACAAATCCCAGATACTTCTCACCACTAGAACTCTTTAATATTTTCCTTTCCCTATTTTTGTGTTGTGCAGTTGTAGTCTAGAGACAAGAAACAAAGGGAATTGTCGTGGAAGAACTAAAGAGTCAAGATTCATGGGAACCTTTGACTCACTTTCGTGGCCTGGAACAAGTTACATTTTGTGCCTCAGTTTCCTTTTCTGTAAAATGTTTCTGAAAATATAAATCTTAAATTCTTAGGTTCTGTGAGAATCACTAGAGGTAATTTATGGAAGAATTCTCTGTAAGGGTAAACTGTTACACACCTGCTGTTAATTCTGTTGACTTTATTAGCAGCAGCAGCAGCAGCAGCATGATAACATTCGTAATCACAGCTGTGCTTTATAGCAAGCACTTTCTACCTGAGTGTAGAATAGGTAGAGAGCATATCCCCTGAGTCTGGCTGTCAACATTTCAAGCATCTTTGCTCCTGGGCTGCCTTTGGGGAAATGCACTGTGGTCCCTTCAAGTTCTGTTCTAGGCAGAGCAGGCATCCCAGTGTGTCAGCCACTGATCTAGGCCTCTGCTTATGAGGGACTTCTGGCTGGAGATGGTCAGTGCCTCATTCACTCAAAAGTGAATGAGACCACAGTCTGGGCTGTGTATTCATATGCCGAGGTTCTTTGTGCTTTGTAGTAAGTGGTATTTCTTCCTGAAGATGCTGGTTGAAAGTACTCATTCATCAGAGCCTCTTTGAAAAAACCTTGACAATTCTTTTTGTCAAGCTTTTCCACCAGAAAATATCAGGGCGAACTGGCCCTTTTCTACACACCTCTGTGTTCTTTGGCAGACGAGCAACTTTGTGGTTGTGTTAGACAAAATTATGTGGTTGTTTTTTTTTAGTACTGTTCAGTAGAGCTAGCAATGATATCAGGAGATACATTACTACTGTCAAGCACACAGCATTTATGCATGATGCCTCTTTGTGCCTGAAAAGGCAAATTCTCCTTTCAAGAGTTGTGACTACCTCCTTTGGTTTCCAAACCCCCTTCCCTTGAGTCAACAACATGGTCTCCGCCAGAGCAAATGGCAGAATCAGGTCAGATTAGCATGCTTGCCAAAGATTTAGGTAAGAGGCATTATACAAATGTCTAAATTATTGCAGCTCAGGACTCTAAGATTTCTAAAAAATACTTTCACACAATTCATTATCACTGGTATTTGTGACTATTTGATAAGCTCCAGAGCCTTTTTCTGCCATGGAAAATAAATCACTTCTAACAGCTAGGTTTTCTTTTTTTCTTTTTTTCATTTTTAAACTTGAACTTTTCCCCAAAACGCCACATGTCATCACCATACTTTTCTCTGTTGAATATTGTTTTCCTTTCTTCTGCCTTAGGATGGTCGTCTGCGAATGAATGACCAGCTGATTGCAGTTAATGGGGAATCTCTTTTGGGAAAGTCCAACCACGAAGCTATGGAAACACTTAGGCGGTCAATGTCCATGGAGGGAAACATCCGAGGGATGATCCAGTTGGTGATTCTGAGGAGGCCAGAGAGACCAATGGAGGTGATGCAAATCTTGATTCTCCTCAGCCAGTTGCCCAAATTGCCACCAGAATATGCAGACTTCCATTCCTAGTATGGCAGCTAGATTCATATCGAGAAAATATGCCCCAGAAGGGCTTTGATGGGAAACAGGTGGTTGTGTATTTTAGGTATAATAGAAAGGTGTAAAAATGTGCATATAAAGTAAGTCATTTATCAGATGTAACAGGTCTATAATTTCTAGTTTTTTCCCCCAGAAATTCCAAGAGCTCTGAACTTGTTCATAAACATCTTTATATACTTTTTTGGTTGATATGCTAGCAGTGTCCATACCTTAGAAAGTGTCTAATCACATGTGTACAATGTTTAATGTGGAGATCATTGTAATGCAGTCAGCTCTCTGTATTCTCTTCCATAATCTGCATATAAATAATGCAGACCTGAGACTTAACTAATTTAACATTTGATTTATTAAACAAGCTGCTTGCTCATGTTATTAAATAAATGGGAGTCTTGTTTTTTGAAATCTTTTATTATTTTTTATAAGTTTTTTAAAATATCAAGAATATTTTCACTTACACATGGAGTCTAAGTGTATGATAGCTTTAATAATAATATTCCTAACATTATACATATAAACATAAAAATACCTAAAACATTATTTTCTCTTATATGAAGAATAATTATTAAATGCTCATAAAATAATTTTAGAAAAAGCTAAGAAGAAAAAGTTAATAGTACTGAAAGTTTAGAAAAACATCAGCAAATCACACATTTTGTCATATCAGGATATTCTCTAAGGCCAAATTGTGTTTGTGTAATAAAATAATATACAAAATTTAAAAAACTATTTAAAAAGCTAATATAAAGTACTAGTTTTAATAAAGAGTTCAGCGTAATAATTGAAAAATGAAAGCTTTATCAAGTTAATCAAGAGTTAATGGTAGTGGGGCTCATTGTAGTTAAAAGCTTCAGCTCTGGAGTTTCGAATTGCTTGGGTTTCAATCCTAGATTTGCTATTTCCTGGCTATGTAAGTACATACATAATTTAGTGCTTGGTATTCATAGATGACAGATATTGCTGTCTGTTTTATCCCTTAATGTGTCCTTGGTTTCCGCATGTAGTAGATGCTTGATAAATATTGAGTGAATGAAAATGTCACATCTGAGACTTACTTCATCTCAGAGAGTAAACTTGAGTAGTAAAGTTATATACTCTATCTTACTTTATTCTATTATCAGCTACGGGCAAGGAGTAGCTATACCTTTTATGCTCTCCTTTATATAAGCTCGCAGATGTTAAATAAATTTAAATTGGCCAATTACTGGAGACTAAATATAATGAACTTATTTTCAACATTTGTGTCTGCTTAAGTGACAGTGTTCCATAAATATTTAATGGGCTTTACTTATGTACCTAGTTATAACACCCTTATCTGCCACTTCCTGCCCTGAGAGAATTGGCCCCATCTGGTTTAGGATAGTTCTTACTCTAGAGCCCTAGGACTCCATGGAACCCGTTTATTGGAGAGAGTTGAAAGGATGGACTGCGAACGCCTGAGTCATCCCTTCTGTGCATCTGCATATCAGATCTCCCTTAAGACTTTTTAAACAAAGATACCTCAACTAATAGAAGAGTCTAGAAAAAACTGCTGTAGCATAACATACCTGTGCAGATAGCAAAAGTTAAAAAAGAAATGACTATGGTTCTAAAAGAGTTAGTAGATGACAGCAGATAGGCGTTATATATTTTGGCTCATCGAGTTGGCACACTTTACTATTTGCATTCCCCTTTACTGCAGGTATTTTCATTTTAATTCTCACACTCTGGGTAGATTGGCGTTATTCCATCAGAAGAAAGTATGAAACTCTCATTTGTTGCCCGCCATCAGAAGTGCCATGTTAATGTAGATCACCAGGGAATTGATCAAGAATAAGAACTGGGTCAAAAAGCAATTTCTATGAGGACGTTTAAACAAGATCCATTTTTAGTTTCCCTAATATTTACATGCTTTCCATGGGGAATGAGCAGGCACTTGACTCTCGGCTACTGAGCATCTCTGCGGTACCCATGAAGATTAAAGAGCATTGTTTCTTATAAAGACAGAAGACTAATGTACAGTTTATCTTTATTAAATTGAAAAAAATTGCAACTGTTTGATCTTCAAATCTGTGTTTCACTGTGTCAGAGCATATTTTGTGTGCTCATGTTTTTGCTGTATTCTCTGGTGGAACAGCACTTGCCCTCCAGTACAATAAAAAGTATCCATAACCTAGAAAAAGGTCTCAGCACTGTTGATACATTCAGGCAAATCAATTAGTTAGATTTGCCAGGAATACCAAAATGGTTGCTTGAACATTATATTGATATCTCAAAAATTGAAGAAGCTACTTAAGAAAAGTCAAAATATATAGTTGTTGGGATTTTTCCCGCATTACCCAGATGTACAAGATATGTAAACAGTTTTGATGAGGACCTTGTGAAGAATACATAATGAGCCCTTGATTGAATCAAAATTGTTTTAAACAGAAACATATTTTTCAAAGGATGAGCTTGAGGTTCAATTGTAATTCTATTTGAGCCTAGAGACTTGGTATTAAAAAATGGGTTATGACCTGATTTTGTTTTTCCTTTCCCCAAAACATTTCCCTCCCTGCTGCCAGCTCATCGTGGCAAAAGCAGAATATGTTTAAAAATCCATTATATTTTTTATTGGCTGGGACACTAATGGAGGGCTCTGCGACGGCTCTATTTTACAGGCTGAATACTTTAATTAGGCTGGTTACTGATCAGTTGTTGGGATATCGATTGTGTCATTTATCAAAGAGCTGGGGAAGCAGAAAAAAATTTTTTGTTCTTGTTGTTATTGTTAAATCAAAGCACAAGGCTGAGCAAAGCAAGCCCTAGCTCTCTTTCCTGCTGCAGCTCCAGCTTTAATTTAGGACTAGCTTACCTCCTATACCAGGCTCAGTTTGACTAGCAGTTCAGAAGAAAGGGTAATACACTGGGTGTGGGAAAAGTGTTACAAGCCTTGACAAAAAGCTAAAGGACCTTCAGCAGCTGAAAACATTTTAATTATTAAGAATGCATAAATGGAATGTTTTAGATATTTTGTGTGACTAGCTCAACACTGAATTTTTATAACCAAAGAGGAAAATATAAATCCAATGCTTTGTTTTAGCCAAATGCTATACTCAGAAGAGCTCTGGGAATCAGATGGGTGCTGCTGTTTGTGGTACATTCTTCTCACAAATGGTCAAGGGAACAGCCATGAGATGGCTTCCAAATCATTTACCTCCTTAAAATCTGTTATTGAGACAAATAATACGAACAAGAGCATACCCTAATTCTCTTTGCTCCAACCTTTTTGGAAAAAAAAATAGTTAAGAGTTCTCTATCATCAGCCTCCTCCAATAATTCCTTCTTCAGCACCTGTGGAAGATGGATCGTAGGGGTGTTACTCTGGATACAGCAGTTTTCAGAAAACTGTGAATGTGTTTACAGACTGTAAAAATCAAAATAGGAAGGGGAAATATAGGGGGGGAACCCTCAGGAGAACTGCTGTCTGGCGTCACAGCGGTTTGATTTAGCTCCTGGCCAAAGACCTAGTATCTGCACAGAGACACACTGGTGGTATTTCAGAGGCGAACCTGCTTGAATTCTGACTTGTCCTAGAGCATATGCACTTAGGCGCAGAGAGAGAGAGGAACCAGCTGGTTGGCAGAGAAACACCCTTGGCATGAACTGTATTCTTGTGTTGACACTGCCACAAGCTGTATTCCCCAGATGGAAGAAAATTTGAAAGAAGCCAGTTATAAGTGGGAAAAGAGAATAATAAAGTTAATCCTCTTTTGTGTTGGCTATCAGCACTCCTAATCCTTAGCACCACAGTGTCAGTACTTTTTATTTTAGACTCAAAGATGTTTTCACTGATAGGGCCATTTTGAGTTTCCACAGTTGAGGACTTAAGTGTAATAGACTCTTGAAAGACTATTCATACAGCGATCATTCTTTCACTTTGCTTCAACTGACCAAGTTGGAACATATTAAAAATGCAAATGTAATTTTTACTTTTATCTCTTAGGATCCTGCAGAGTGTGGGGCATTTTCCAAGCCATGCTTTGAGAACTGTCAAAATGCTGTAACCACCTCTAGGCGAAATGATAATAGTATCCTGCATCCACTTGGCACTTGCAGTCCACAAGACAAACAGAAAGGTAAGAGTCTATTCATTTTATCCACTGCAAATGGAGTGAGAAAACACAAAAGTGTCTTTTTATCTAAAAAAAAAAAAAAAGAGTAAAGGGGAGTTAATTAGACTAAGTGCAGACTTTGTTACTCGGAGTCACAAACACTGAGAGAGTTGGGGGAGAGCTGACTCAGAACTTGTGAATCAGATTCCTGGCAATGTCTCTAGTTTAAGTGACACTTTCTGTGCTTGCTGCCCCAAACATGGAGGGTTATATATAAAACAAACGATCACTGGAGAATCAAAGATGGCAAACTGTTATTTTTAAGCTCTTCTAATACTGGAAGTTACCAAGTATAAATAAATAACTACCAAAATTTAAAAATGTATGGATTTATAATCCATAAAATGGTCATAGCGTGATTCACAGATGATCCTCGATTCTAATATGAGTATGATAAATGGGTGAATATCCTAACCTGAAACCATCTCGTGATGGTTGGAATGTTCTTGTTATTGTCTTGCTACACTGTTTTGCCTTATTATCTAATGTGGATCCCATTTCTAGCTGACTCCAGATGTAAAAAAATCTGGGTTTTCCTCTTTGTCTTTTAAAAAATATACTTCAGGTCACCAAGAAAATTGTTTTATCTCCCTGTATCTCTTTTCTTTAATAAAATGAATTTTTTATTACAAAAACAATACATATTCATTGCAGAAAATTTAGAGAAAAGAAATAAAAAGAAAATTTAATTTTACTTATACTTCTATCAAAGATCCTAATCAGTAACATTTTATGTATATCTTTCAGGACTTTTTAATGAAAATATTTTATACAAAAAATGAAATAATGAAATGTATGTAATGTTTAGGAAATTTCTTTTTAAAATTAATAGCACATTATATGCCTCTTAGTCATTGAATATTCTTCTACAATATCACATTCAGTAGTTGCATAGTGTCTTTTGAAGGTAAGTACCATATATTATGTAATCAGTCCCTATATTTTGAACACTTAAGTGTTATCATAATTTAACTATGTGGAAAGAAGTTCCAAGCTGTGAAATTACTCCATCATAACATACTTGTAAATCTGAGGTGGCTCTAGAATTAAATTATCTCATTAGAATGGGATGTTGTTTTTTCCACAGAATTCCTCCATTTTAGCAAGAGTAGTAGCAACAGCTGCTATCATTTATTAAGTGTTTACTGTCTGTTAGATACTGTGTTGAGCAATTTGCCTGCAGACTCAAAGTGGATAATGTTATCTTCATTTTACAAATGAAGGTCTAGAAAGTCAGTAAATAATTTACTCACAAATGCATATTTGATACATGCACAGTCTGGATTCAATTCCTGTCTCCCTGTCCTCAGTTTGTCTTCCAAACCACAGCATGGGTCTGACTTATATTGGTCTATTGAAACTATTGGAGTCCTTTCACCTACTGAGAATGCCCATTAGAAGCTGACTTTAGACCGGGCACAGTGGCTCACGCCTGTAATCCCAGCACTTTGGGAGGCCGAGGCAGGCAGATCACCTAAGGTCGGAAGTTCGAGACCAGCCAGCCCAACATGGCAAAATCCCATCTGTACTAAAAAAAAAAAAAAAAAAAAAAAAAAAAAAAAAAATTAGTCTGATGTGATAGCACATGCCTGTAATCCCAGCTACTATGGGGGGGGAAAAAAAAAAGAAGAAGCTGACTTTACTTAGTATACAGATAAAAAAAAAATACTCAGTATGTCTTTTCTCATCTTAAAGAAATTATGGTGGCAGGCACCTGTAGTCCCAGCTACTCGGGAGGCTGAGGCAGGAGAATGGTGTAAACCCAGGAGGCGGAGCTTGCAGTGAGCCAAGATCGTGCCACTGTACTCTGGGCGACAGAGCAAGGAGACTCTGTTTCAAAGAAAAAAAAGAAATTAAAAATTTTCTTGACAGAACAAGATTGCCTTCTGAAATCTTAAATTGCAGTAGCAAAAGAGCCTGGGAAAGGAATGGCAAGTTTTCTGCAAAATAAAACAGTCTTCTTTCTACCTTATGATCACGAATGTGGACATTTGTATTAAAATATCTAGATTTCATGTAACTTGATTGGCATTTAATTCTCTAGCAACGTGTGGCCCAGTGTCTGTCTAAGTCTAGAGTTTAATTCCTAGTTACACCAGTGACATCTAAATGAACACTAAGTACCTTTTGTTTTTAATGTCTATAAAATACAGTTATGTGCCACATAATGACATTTTGGTCAACAACAGACCACATATATCATGGTGGTCCCATAAGATTTTAATGGAGCTGAAAAATTCCTAATGCTATACTATAATTTTTATCATCATTTTAGAGTACACTTCTACTTATTTTTTAAAAAAGGTAACTGTAAACAGCCTCAGGCAGTTCCTTTAGGAGGTATCCAGAAGAAGGCATTGTTACCATAGGAAATGACAGCTCTGTGCCTGTTACTGCCCCTGAAGACCTTCCAGTGGGATAAGATATGAAGGGGGAAGACAGTAATATTGATGATCCTGACCCTATCTAGGCCTAGGCTAATGTGTGTTTGTGTCTCAGGTTTTACCAAAAAAGTTTAAAAGGTTAAAAGAAAAAGTATAATAGAAAAAGCTTATAGAATAAAGATATAAAGAAAAAATATGTTTCTACAGCTGTACAATGTGTTTGTGTTTTAAGCTGTTATTAAAAAGATTCAAAAAGTTAAATTAAAATTTATAAAGTAACAAAGTTACTGAGATTGAAGAAAGAAAATATTTTTTAGAAATGTAGTGTAGCCTAAGTGCCTTGTGTCTGTAATGTCTATAGTAGTGTACAGTAGTGTTTTAGGCCTTCAGATTTACTCATCCTCACTCACTGACTCACCCAGAGCAACTGCCAGTCCTGCAAGCTCCATTCATGGTAAGTGTCCTATGCAGGTGTACCAATTTTTATCTTTTATACTGGATTTTCACTGTAGCTTTTCTGTTTACATACACAAATACCATTGTGTTGTAATTGCCTGTAGTATTCAGTAAATGCTATACAGGATTGTAGCCTAGGAGCAATAGGCTATACCACAGAGCTTACCAGAGTAAGCTAATCCTTCTAGGTTTGAGTAAGTACACTATGATGTTGATGCAAGGACAAAATTGCCTAACGAAGCTTTTCTCAGAATATATCCTCCTTAAGTGACACAAGATGTATTTTCTGAAGACATTGAGATACTTAAGTAAATGGAATAATATCTCTGCAAAGAATAGCAAAGGCTAAACTAATGAAACCATAGAAGTAGTTAATGTGTAAGGATACATCCAGAAAACAAAAAATAAGAAAATCCACTCCAAGTGCATGCTAAAAAATACAATACAATAATCATTTGGTTTGGAATTTCAATAGAATGTTCAGACTTTGTATATCTTCTGTACAAATAGAGTCCTTTGGGCACAAGTGGCCTCAGACAACCACTGGGAGATTTTGTCTCTTCTTTTCTTCCCAGGACGTAGATTTAGTTAGAACAATTTTTACATCAGTGAAAAAAATATATAAATTAACTATCTACAAGTTTCCTGTTTCTCTTTCTTCCAAAGTGACTCCATTAAACATTATTTTTTCAAAAGTAGAGAAAATCTATTATTATATTTTCTTTGTGGATCTGTGCTACCATACTAGATTATAAAATTTAGGCCTATCAAAACACAGACTTATTACATTTTCATTGTTAGAGGCCAGTAGATGAAATTTTCTTACTTTTTATGTAAGTCTATTGATTTAGAGACCAAAAAATTATAGCAGAATATATAAACATGATGCTATAAAAGAGTATCATGGCCATCACGTCTTTGTAATATTAATGGCATTTTATATTTAGGGAACTATTGGGAGTTCCTGAGTTTCAGATCCATGTCAGGTGGTAACAGGCCACTAAGGCTTATAAAACCTGAATGTTGATTGCCACTACCAGTTTTTTTAAGGATCTTCTTTAGAAAAACAAGATTAACTTGACAAAATGTAATGTCTAGTGAGGAGAGGAGCTGTTACAGCCAAAACATTGGCTTTTTTTTTTTTCTTTCCTTTTTCCTTTCCTTTGTATATTTAAGAATCCAATGTTGATATTCTGTGTTCCATTTATTTTTGTAATAATAGTACATACCACCCACAGTTCTTGGTTTTTATTTTTTTTATTCCTGTCAAGCTGTTACACAGAAAAAAGGCATTTTTAGAACTAATGTTTATAGAAATCGTAATACCAGAAAATTCACATTTGTACTGAAGAATTGCTAGCAATGCCGGTAGTGAAATAAGTGTGGTGCTTCAAGATGGTAATAGGGATGGAGGCTGTGTCCCAGGGGCTTCCTATAAAATCCTGTTAAGCATTTGAATGGTAATGAAATGCACCAACACTGTATTTTCTGAGGAATCTTGCTGGCAGATCTTACCCTGGGCCGAGGAATAGCCTCATGCAGTTTGCCTCTGGTTAGCATTACCTCTCATTTCACTGCACTTGTCTCCCCTATATAGCTCTTTTCCTGCTTCTCCTTTTTCAGCTCAAGTGCACTCCTGTCTTAGGCACCCACTGCCCCCAAATCTGCCCAGCATCACCCACTGGGTTAGGCCTTTCATCTCCATCTCAAATCAAATGTGGTGGTTCTGTGACCTGTCTCTCTGGATCCGTATTCCCTGGGGTCCTCTGAGACACATCATAGTAGAATTATTTCTAATGTGTATCTTTCTGGGGACCAGCATGTATCTACCCCTCTATAGCATGTAAAGCACTACGTCTGGAATGACTATCCAAGATTGAATTATACGTTTCAATTTGGCTAATGTTTATTGGATACCTCCATTGTGCAGAATACACTATCAGGAGTGGTGAATGCAGTAGTATTATTGTCCTTAAGAATAGTCTGAAGCAGGAGTCAAAAAACTTTGTCCTTAAAGTGCAAGATAGTAAATATTTCAGGTTTTGGACTGTAGGTCTCTGTCATCACTCAATTCTGCCATCGTAGAGCAGAAGCACTCATGGACAATACATAAACAAATAGGCATGGCTATTCAGTAAAACTTTATTTGCAAAGGCAGGTGGCAAGCTGGTTTTGGACCAGGGCCATAGCTTGCTGACCTGTTGTCTAAAGTTACAATCTCTTTTACTCATTCTTTTCTGATGTGGCCTTGGTAGGATAGATCCCACAACACAAATAACAACAAAAGATGATAATTAAAAAGAAGAGCCATTTGGCCATCAATGAAGTAATGACTACAGGGAGTGCTGTGTCAACATTTACAGGCATAGATATATACGAAATGACCATCAAGAAGACTGTACCTCGTACACTCAATGAAATCCAGAAATATTATTATAGGAGATAAGAGTTCCAGACTTTTACACTGAAACAAGGGCTTAACAAAGGTGTCTGGGCCCAGAAGAAAATAAAAATTCCTTACAGCATCTGAATATGTTGTTTAAAAAATGTAACAAGGGGCCGGGTGTGGTGGCTTACGCCTGTAATCCCAGCACTTTGGGAGGCCAAGGCAGGCAGATCACGAGGTCAGGAGATCAAGATCATCCTGGCTAACACAGTGAAATCCCTTCTCTACTTAAAATACAAAAAATTAGCTGGGCTTGGTGGCAGGTGCCTGTAGTCCCAGCTACGCGGGAGGCTGAGGCAGGAGAATGGCTTGAACCCGGGAGGCGGAGTTTGCAGTGAGCCAAGATCGCACCACTGCACTCCAGCCTGGGTGACAGAGTGAGACTCTGTCTCAAAAAAAGAAAAAAAAAAAAGTAACAAGGATAGAGAGTCAACAAATAAGATACTTACCTCAACAAACAAGGTACTTACCTCTACACCGATCACCACTTTAAAAAAAAACACTGAAAAACACATAAACACATAAAGAACGATAAATGGTTCACATGAGTGTAATAAAAATTAAATTTAATGATTGTAATAAAACTAGCTAGAGAAGAGACTGTAGAAGACATGGAAAAACGAGAAAGAGGAACACGAGGAGAAAGTTATCTACAGTCTAGTAAAAGAAATAGACATAGATAAATAGATAATAGCTTGATAGAACAATAAATACATACATAGTTCATTGCAAAAGTGGCATTTGATAAATGCTATCCAAGAATTACTTTACATAATATTAAGTAATAGATAAACCTAAAGTGTCACTGGATAGATAAAGACAGTGAAAGTCTATTTCCTGGTCCTGTCACTGCACAATGAGGTTTGGCAGCTGTGCTCCATGCAGTGATTACAGGACCTAGGCTCCTTCCACTGGTGGCTGGGCACCTCGTCACCTGGCTTTCAGGTGATGTAGATGGGGAAAGGAAGAGAGAGTGAGGAAGCTGCACCCTCTCATAACCACTGAGACTGGGAATGACATTTATCATAGCAGCCCACATTCCATTTGCAAGAACTAGTCTAGGGACAAAGAGGCCCTAGCAATGGTGTCCAGCCGTATGCCCAGGAAGAGAGGAAGAGCACGGATAGAGTGGGCACTGGTCTTCTTGGCCACTGTTATAAAAGTGACAGATCCTTGGCAACAGCGAAGGCTTCATAGTAAAAGTGATATTTGGGTGGACCTTGGGAGAAGGGTAGGATTTTGACAGGTAGAGTAGGTTTTGCAGTTACATAAGCAAAGATACTGAGGCAGGAACACCCAGGGGTGTTGGCAGGGAATGGTAAGCTAACGGGTAATGGGAGATAAAGTTGTTTGCCAGGATCATAGACCTTTATTCCGTAGGCAATGTGTGCAGCTGAAGTGATTTTGAGCAACAAGTTACATGATCACAAATACGTTCACCATCACTGTGGAAGATGGACTGAGAGGTTGAGGATAGAAGATGAGAGCCAACAGAAAGGAAGTTGTCCCAGGATGTCCATTGTCCCCAATTTACATTACAGTCCTTCTGTTCTGTTTCTCTTAGCAAGTCTTGAATGCCTGACTGCTGCCACCACTAACAAATCAATGGGCCCCTAGGGTTGGAGGTGGTGCAGGGGCACAGTGCAGGCGCTGCCTTTGTGCTTCTTTCCCCCTGGTCACCTACTTAGCAGGTCTGCTTCAAGCTTCATCCCCAGGGGCATGTCAGCTGTGCTACAACTACCTCCACATCAGTCTAGTGCCTGGGGCAGAGCTTGGAGCAAGTCCTTGCCTTGTGTATTTCTCAGGGTTCTGCAGAGAAACAGAACCAAGTTGTGTGTGTGTGTGTGTGTGTGTGTGTGTGTGTGTGTGTGTGTGAACAGATTTATGATAAGGAATTGGCTCACATGGCCATGGAGACAGGCACATCCCAGGATCTGCAGGATGAGTCAGCAAGCTGGGGTTGCAGAAGAGTTGATGGTGCAGATTGAGTCTGAAGGCCGGAGAACCAGAAAAGCTGGTGGCGTGGTTTCAGTCTGAAGACAAACGGGCTTGAGACTCAGGAAGAACTGATGTTTCCGTTTGGGTCTGAAGATAGAAAAAAGCCAATGTCCCATGTCAAAGTCACTCAGTCGGGGAATTCTCTCTTATTCAGGAGAGAGGCAATCTTTTTTGTTCTATTCATGCCTTCACGTGATTAGACAAGGCCCACCCCATTAGAGGGGACAGTCTACTTATTTAAATGTGAATCTTGTTTAAAAACACCCTCACAGAAACTCCCAGAATAATATCTAGGTACCCTGTGGCCCAGTGAGATTGACATATAAAATTAACCATCATATCCAGCACGTGGACAAGCCAAAGCAGGTTTTATCACCAACAGCAGTTCTCAAGGGTAGAGATATTTGTCCCTTATTCTGTCATTCAGGGACAAATCAGGTACATATCTTATCAAATATGTCACTGTAATAGATACAAGTAGAACTTACAATCTATGGAATAATAATCCTCTGTTTACTTAACAGTATGCATTTACAAATCACTGCTTAAATATAATTTAGTTTGGCCCGGCGCGGTGGCTCACGCCTGTAATCCCAGCACTTTGGGAGGCGGAGATGAGTGGATCATGAGGTCAGGAGATCAAGACCATCCTGGCTAACACGGTGAAACCCCATCTCTACTAAAAATACAAAAAATTAGCCAGGCGTGGTGGCGAGCGCCTGTAGTTCCAGCTATTCGGGAGGCTGAGGCAGGAGAATGGCGTGAACCCAGGAGGCAGAGCTTGCAGTGAGCCAAGATCGTGCCACTGCACTCCAGCCTGGGTGGCAGAGCGAGACTCCATCTCAAAAATAATAATAATAATAAATATATACACACACACACACATATATATATATATAAATAAAATTTAATTCTCATATTCCTCCAGTAAAGGTATTCTTGTTGCCACTTGATGGCTTTAAAAACTGAGGCTTGGAGAAGTTGAGTAATTTGCCAAGTTCACACAGCAGTAGGGTTGGAAACATGGCAGTCTTGCTCCAAAAACCATGCACTTTACCACGATGTTATATAATGCTTTTCATACACTAGGGAATATGGTTAGTAATTATGAGCATTCAATGAAATAATATACAAGGCTTAATATAATGTCTGCTGTATAATAAGATCTCAACAACCTTACTTGTTAGTTGTGGTGATATTAGAGATACATGTCTATTCTTATAGTACAGAACAAACTGGAAAAGTATACATTTTTAGTAGATGGGAAAACCAGGATTTAGACCCCTGTCTTTTCCTTATAAGGCCTTAAACTCAGATGTCTCCATTATGGCACAGATAGAAAAAAAGAGCGCACGTTTGTGTGTTTGTGTGTGTGTGTGTGTGTGTTTATCTCCACTATGTCTAAATGGTGGACAGATATACTATATCGTGATTTTTTAAAAGAAGTTTTTGCTACTGAAGCAAATGCTTTAATCACCATATAATCCAGAGTATTCACTATAGAGACTTGTTTACAAAAATATTAAGGCATAAAACAGATGACTTTGTTAATCTTCCACAAATCACAGGTAATGAGTATGTGTCAGCCTTTTGTTGGTGGGAAAAGGTAGTCAAGATCTGTGGAGTGGGTTTGCTAGGGGTTGCCTGCAGGTCACCAGTGTAAAAACATATTAGCAGGCTTAGATTTCCTCATACAAGCAGTATTCATTCTCATAAGGATCCTTCAGTTCTGTATGAGAACTTATTTATTTCAGGGCTGGTTTATGTGTTGGCTAAAACTGCGTCTGAGAGAGATACTGAAACCAAACCAGGCATCGAATGGTTCTGCTTCCACTTTATACAGCTTCATTTGTTCTTTGTTTATAGGTCTATTGCTGCCCAATGACGGATGGGCCGAGAGTGAAGTTCCACCTTCTCCAACACCACATTCTGCTCTGGGATTGGGCCTCGAAGATTACAGCCACAGGTATTGATAAAATGATGTATCGTAAATGCTCCTTGTTATTGTTTTTCTGGGAGAACACAGCAACCTTATTCAGCAAACTTATTTTAACTCTATTTCTTTCTGGAATGGAAATCTTATAGTATCTATAATTCCTTTCCAGCGAAAGCTTCAGTGAAAGTTTCTCATAGCTAATAGCTTAGATTGGGCATATTTTGCTTCCTGGTATTTGTTAAGATTCACCTTAAATTATTAAAATATTTAAGAAAATGGTTGAACTTTCATTTACAAATTTAAAAACTAGAGCCATGGAGCTCAAAGAAAAGTGACATGGGAAGGTATAAAACAAAACTGAGAAAATAGGAAGCTTATGGGTTTTTATTAGTAATTGGCAAACCCTAGAGGTATTTTAAAAATAGATGTTCCAAGAAAGTTAATGGAATCTAAAAATTAAAGCAACACCATATATAATCTAAAATATTGAAGAGGGTACCCAATATTATATCCATTCTGTAATAGAAACTAAAAAAATCAATAATTTTTAGAATCACACAAGAATGAGAGAGATTTACTAAGCATACATACTATTTGACAAGGGGAATTCATAGATTTTGTTCTTCTGATGAGTTTTAAAAATCATTAAATTGTCCCTTTGCTATTTTCTATATTTACTATGGCTGTTAGAAACTGTGTATTTTATTCCATTCTGTGTCCCATGATAATCCTGTGAAATTTCTTCATTTTTCTTGCAGCAATGCTAGTGTCATTCCTATTATGTTTTTTAATACAGTCTGCTAAAAATAAAGCAGCATGCCTTAGAGTATAGCTAACTGTATTAGGTGGAAGCTCACCTATATTTAGCTATCTCTGATTCTTATACTTTTGAAGTCAGTTATCTTGCTAACTACAGTTTCGTGAACTAGATTGATAATCATAATAATATTCTAGATCAATGTCTCTAGGGGTTTCATAAAAGAAAATGTGGACCTATTTAATTTTGTCCATTCATTTCCATTGCCTGCCTCGATTCTGAATTGAAAATGACAATTTGGTGGCATAAAAAAAGCCATTTAAAACATAATTTCATTTGTTCTACCTTACTGTTTATCCTGTATATATGTGCAAAATGTTTGGGATGGTGCAAAGCTGAATCAGATATAAACCCTGTCTTCAGGAAGCTGGTAGGCTGACAGGTAGGCTCATGGGACGACTGGAACACAAGGGTTCCAAGTGATATTTACCAGAAGGTATAGATAAAATGCTCTGAGCATCTGAGGCAGAGGAGAATGCCTCCAGATAAAGGAATCAGGGAAAATACTATGGTAAAAGTGTCATTTGAGCTGAACCCTAACTCATGAATAGCAGGTGGACATGAGATGAGCCCAGGAAGAAAGGGCATTTCGGGAGGGAAGAGCAGCAGAAGAAACAGCATAGAGACGGGAGAGTAAATTGAATTGTACAAGGTGGAGCTGATCAGCCAGATGATAAAGCCCAGAGTGCAAGAATAAGGTATGCAGACTTCATTTGGTAGATAGTCAATCTTATTGCAGGGTTTTCGCAGGTAATACACAGAATGAAACCTGGGTTTTTTGTGTGTGTATAACATGGATTGGGTGAATGGAAGAGGTTTGATATCCCCTGGAAGCCAGGACTCTTTGGATACCTTTTAGGGCAACTGCAGTCAGAGGTACTGAGCATCTGTGCAGGGGAGGCTAGAGAGAAGCACTCAGATGAGAAACCTTCAAGGGAGAGAGGTGGTTCAGAGATCACCTGGGATTTAGCAACTGTCTTTTTGGCTTCAAAGTCTCCACGGATTTCTTTCCTTCCCTTTTCTGCAAAGCCATTCCTTTGTGAATTGGGGAGAGAAAAAAGTTTATATTGCTCCTCGCTGCTGTAAATCTTCATTACATGGTATGAACTAGTAACTTCCATCTTCTTTTCACGTCTTCCTTCCTAGTCCCGTGTGTTTTAGGCCTCTGTTCTCACTTCTTTATTAGAACTGCTCTCTTAATCATCAACGGTAATCTCCTTTCAGTCAAAAGTATGACGTTGTCTTAGACTTCATTCTTCTTTTCCACTCTGCAGTATTTGGTTATTAAGTCATTTATTCACTTACTCATCCATTCAAAAGTATTTCTGGAGCTCTGAGCCAGACACTGTAGAAAGAACTCAAATGGATTGGAAAGCATCCCTGCCTGCAAGAAATGCAGCGTCCTCTTAGAGACAGACACGCAGATAATTAGGATGCAGCCAGCTAAGCATTAGATACAAAATGCAATGGGAGCCTAGAGGAAGAAGCCACTAACTTTGCCTGGAGTTGTCAAGTAAGTTTTCACAGGAGAGCAGTGTTTAAGCAGTTTCTTGGAAAACGGAAGAAAGCTCTCTAGACAGAGAAGTGGCGGGAAGGGCAATTTAGGTTAAGGAAACCAGGGATGGGAAAGAATGCAGAGTGTGTTCAGTGTGGCTAAAGCTTGTGGTATCTCAGGGAAGAATCAATGGGAAGGGCATTGTCTGTCCTGCTCCATGGGTGCCATGCTTCTCCGGAGAGCAGTGGAGAAGCATTGAAGCGCTTTGAGCCTGGAGATGACAGTATCAGGCAGAGCAGTTTCAGTGATGGAGGGTGGAGGGAATGGCAGAAGCCGCCATAGACAAGGAGGCTGCTCCGACTTGGGACTAGCAAGAGAAGAGCAGGGCCTGGATGGAGGGATCAGAAGCATGGGTGGAGAAGAAAGGGCAGAGATATTTTAAAAATGGAAGGAACAAGTCTTAAGCCTTGAAACTCTCCCCTCCTAGGATCGTGTGACCTGCACCATCCTGCAAGCTGCTGCGTTGCCTAGGTGACCAGCAGCAGCAGGGGTTGGATGTGTGAAACTTGGGATGGAGGAAGGACTGGAAGGGAGCCAGGAGGATTGAGCAAGAAAGGCTCTCCTGCCTTCTGCCTTTCAAAAAAAAAAAAAAAAAAAAGGAAAAGCCCTCTCAAAGGAAAAAAGGGTGTTGGAGGGATGAGGCTAATCTTGTAAAAGAGAAAACTGCTATGGCGTGAGGAAAGAAAAACAAATTTGATCAAACTTAATGCCTGTACAAAATGAAATCAGGAAATTGCTCAACCTATTTTTACTATTATGCAATGATTATTACAGAAAAGTTTATAATATGTGGGTCTAAGTAATAAATAAATATAAAGGAAATAAACTTACTGTGAGATCTCAGGCAGAGTTGAAGCTAAATCAGCAGCAGACAGAATATATCGAATATTATTAACAGTTTAGACAACATTGGGCTATTCCCCACATGTTCATATTCTCTTTCTCTCTCTCTCTCTGTCTGTTTCTTCATGCACATACCTGAAACTACTCTCACTCATAGAAGCCAATTGTTGAAGTCCATCTGTGGACACCTGAGACTTCAGACATCATGGTTTTTGTCTTGCCTCTCAAAATCTTCATCCCCCACCTTTTCACCTCAGACAGTTCTTGAACATTCATTGTTGGCTCTTATACATCTTTTACATTCCTGGTTTGTCACCATAGTCAAACACTGGCATATGTTTCATGCTACCCTTACTTATTCATTAGGCAGCATAATTTGACGTTGAGTATCGTTTCTATTTGGTAGATTCTCTGGTCGTTCATGCTGAAAACACGGCCTTTATCTAAGACATGTCTTTGGCCTGCTGTCAACTTCCAGCTTCCAACAGCCTTCACTGCAGCCCACTCAGCCATGAGCACATGCTAACTCCCTTCAAAATTAAAATGTTGTATTTCATAGTTAATCATTGTGTCACCCTCTTAATGCAAACACTCGAGATATGTAGCGTAAAGTTACAAACCGTTTTACTAGTCTAACTTACATGTCTAAAATATTTTCACATGAACTAACTCAATACGGCACTCACTCATTATTCTGGTGCTCTATATGCCCACATTGGCTCTAATCCTATGACTTATATTACACTCACTTGCCTCCTTAATATCCATCAATCTGATATCAGCCTTATTTGCCTTATTTCCATTTTGTACCGCAGCAAAGGGGGGGCCCTTTTATGAAACGTTTTCAAAGTGTACACTTGGTCACAATCAAAATGATGGTAACATATATGTGTATGTATATAGATAGATATGTAGATATCTCATTATGATCAATTTAAAGGACATAATCAGATGTGTACATAAGAGCATTTGTTACATTCATATGTACAGTGCAGCCTTTTATTTCTTTGATCCTTCTTGATTATATGCCAACATTTGTATAAAAGTTCACTTTATTAGACAGATCCTAGCTTGATGTTACTGCATCGAGTGTCATTGCCACCTTACTTTTTAAACGGGGATTGGGATCATTGCTACCTAAGAGTCTGGGAAAATTTGAGCTCTTATTCCTAATTTGTGAATTAACACCTGGCTTAAGAGGATAAACTAAGACAATGAGTCAGGTTCACCAACACATTGTTCAGTTGGGTAGATTCTCAGTCTGCCTTGAGCAGAGCACTTTAAATGCAATCTGATCTATGTTTTAATGAGGGTCCTACACCTCCTCCCTGGAGGCTTTCACTGCTTTGATTAAGGATTTAGTTTTCTATTATTGCATGATGTGCACCATTCTATTGAAACAAAAAGCAAACCTAAAATGTAAGCCACATAGTAAAAGGTGAGCAAGTCTTCACTAAAAGTGAAAGGCTTGATTTTTGCGGATTCGGGATCAGCAACAACCTGTGTCCCAGGCTGGCCACCATTTCAGCCAGATCTTCTGGCTCTGGTCCCAGCTTTGCCCCTGGCCAGCTGTGTGACCTGGCAATGCCAACTCTCCTCTTTGAGCCTCAGGGTCTTATCTGAGAGATGAGGTGACCTTTAATCCCTTCTGGCTCTTAAACTTTTTGATTCTATGAAGGCCATGAGTCTTTCTGACACTAAACCCACATCATCACAACAGATCAAAGGATGGAAAACTTAAGTGCAAATAAAGGTCGAATAACACATTTAAAGGCAAGTGCTTCCAAACACCAAGACTCAGGGGAAAGCTCATGTTTGCAGTAGTGTCTCAGAATTCTTCTATAAAATGGGCTGAAAAAATGAAAGTATTGCTATTAGGCCAGGCTAGTGTCAATAACACTAAGTGGGTCCAGGATTTTTGTTCACAATTGGCATATTTTGTCATTACTAGATACCATATCTAATACACTTTATATATCAATGGCTTCGTGTATTGAGAATGTACCCAGACACCAGGAAAGAAATAGAAAAAAAAAAAAAAAAGGCTACATAACCCTAAAGAGAGGATTTAAACTTCTTGAGAAATTTTTATGAAAACATGTGAAATCTCTTCATTGGCAAATGCCTTAGGCCCTCATTCGAAGACCATACTAACCTACAGAAATAAAGAAAAGGATTCTTAATAGCTCAGGTTGATCAAGCTCTTACTGTGTGCTAGGTACTTTTCTCAATATATAACGTAACTTACGTATCTTACAAAAATTTTAAAGAGTCATAAATTCTATTCTTATCCATTTTATGGATGAGGAAACTGAGGCCACTCACCCTGACATTTTCCTACAGGGGCCACTCTCCTAACCATCAAACCACATCACCCTTCTAAATAGAAAGAGAAAAGGGCTCCTAGTCACAGACTTGCTGAGAGTCTGACAAAAACAGAGATGTCAAAGAAACTGTAAAAAGCACAGGTAATGGGAAAAACTCAGAAATTTATAGTGTTTTGGGAAGCAAAAGTAGGACATTTTACTGATCTGCTTATTTGTTAACTTACCTAATTTATCTGTTTCTATAGCACATACTCTGTACCAGACCCTAATGTCCTTACTTTACAAATCTTCACTCATTCTATTCTCTCAACAACCTTGTGAGGTAGAGAGTGTAATTTTACTCATTTTATACATAAGGAAATTGAAGCCCAGAGAGGTCCAGTAAGTCTCTTAGTTGACACTGCTAGTAAGTACCGGAGCCAGGATTTAGAGTGGGCCAGACACACCACAGTGCTGTGCTGGTTGATGGGTACTTCCTTTCTGGGGGAGGGTGGAGGAGATGAGGTCTACCTTTGTCACCCAAGCTGGAGGGAAGAGGTGCAATCTTAGCTCACTGCAGCCTCAAACTCCTAGACTCAAGTGATCCTCCAGCCTCAGACTCCCAAGTAACTGGGACTACAGGTGCATGCCACCACACCTGGCTAAACAGGTACTTCCTTAATTTACCCACGGCATTATAAAAAGGGAGGTTCATTTATTCATTTGGCAATACTATTATTGCTGCATACTAATTTTAATATTGCTTGAAAGCAGTATTGAATATGGAGGGATGATGAGTTTCAAGAAAAGATTAAACTTATTTTGGTATTTCAGGTCGAGATTCTCTTGTACATTTTAGAAGGATTTTCTTTCAAAACAGTTATTTTTGCTATTGTTTTGTTGTTTATAGTATCAAACTCCAACTGTTTGAAAAACCCAACATCAATACTTTAGATTTTGTAAGGATACATGATTTGGATTTTCACTATATTTGGGATTAGAATAGCAATTATAATGAGATGAGCCACCATATTTACTTTCCAAACAGATGAGAGTGCCAAGGTAAGAAAATGGCTATAATTTAGTTTATTAAAATTATATAAATTTATTTCTAAAACAAGAACTAAGTCATTGTCTGTAATTCTCTTATGTAATACCCTCTATCCTCAAGCAAAATAAATAAAATATTCAGCAGAAGGAAAGTTATTTGAGATTGCCTACAAGTACTAAGAAAACTATAATGGGCATTTGATGTATCTTGTGTCTTAATTGTCAACTGTGCTCTTCCTATTATTTCCTTTTGGCACTTTTGGTGAGCAGACTGTCTGCTTAGTGTTAACATTAGTTTTAGGAAAAAGACCTAAATAAAGTAGAAAACCAAACTCCTACAGGCATCAGTCATTCAACAGGATGGTTTTCTCTAAAGGATACAACCCTTTCACTTGTGTTTTAAAATAGGCATAGCTTAGTCCACAGAAATCCCTTAACCTGCTTTTGGGCTCTGCTAATATCCAGTGACATCTTTTGAAGTGCTAGTGTTTTCCAGGCCCTCTTTACCCACTTAAAGTTATATAGTGTACAGCAGGATCCCAATTAGCAGAAATCAGTGAAGAGTAAAACACGATATTGCCCAGAGAATATTTTATTTAAATTGTACAGTGTGATAAAATACATGAAAACAGAGTTGCTACATCTCATAAAAGAAACCTGAGATTTAAGAATTAGTTGAAAATATGTGGTTGGGAGCTGCGCAGAGTGATGAGTGGCTGTGTTCAAAATGAGAACTGCTTCCTCATTTTTTAAAAGATTTTATTCTAAACCTAAATACAACATATGGCTTCCTTCCACAGCTCTGGGGTGGATTCAGCAGTATATTTTCCAGATCAGCACATCAACTTCAGATCTGTGACACCGGCCAGGCAGCCTGAATCAATTAATTTGAAAGCCTCGAAGAGCATGGACCTTGGTAAGCAAGGGTGAGGTGACATCCAGGTCAGCTCTCCAGCCTCAGCCCATTTATCTTCCCAAATGTCCTGGTTTTGTTTCTTCAACTCAAACCTCAGGGAACAAGGTCTGCAGAAGCCTGGAGGAAGGGATAATGGCCATCCCACCTTCCTATCTCTTCGCACATTTAATTGTAATTACCCACTTTGTGAAACAAAGAGAAGTGATTTATTTTTACAAAGTGATCTATAAACTATCCTCCCATCATAGATGACAAAAATGATTCCTTCTGGAGGATCTGAATTCCAGAGGCATCTTTATCTCATCCATCTGCCTTTGCATTTGCACCCTCGCTTCTGCCAGGGCATTTCCACTCTGTGCGGGCATACCTGTTGCAGAGCCTGGGAAAATCATGTGGTTCAAAGCATCCTTTGCCTTAGTGCTTCACTTCCTTCTATTCTTCTCCATGTGTGATGGATAGAGATGGCATCAGTGCAGAAGATTCAGCTTTTTAAATGCCCATCCCCAAATCCTGTGACACTGGAGGGGAAAAGGGTCTCTTGGGCGTGCCACACTGAGGGTGTCAAGGTACCCTGTGTCCATGCCTGAACAACCTCACTGAGGTTCTGAGCACCATGGGGAACTTCGTGGTGACTGTTGGGTGCCAGGGCAGAGCAAGGGCCCCTGTTAACTGTGTTCTGAAAGCCTTGGGACATCTCAGATACCCTAGAGCATCACTGCCCTCCCATGGGCTCTTAGAGAGAACACCATTAGAGAAAAGTATGGATACAATAAATTCTCAGCAAAATATCCATTGCCTCATGAATGCTTGGAGGCCAAGCTTTGCAATTGTTTTTTCTCAAGGCATATTATATATTTCTTTAGTAACAACGAGAAAATAGAATAATCAAAAGTGCGTGCTCCACCAAACGATCTGATAAATAGTGCTTTTCTGTTACTCACTTACAGGAGTTCAGAAAAATGTTCAGTCATGATGAAACAAGAGAAATTGATTCTATTTTGTATAAATTAACTAAATGACTGGGATGCATTTGCTGTAATCGCCTGTAGTGAGAGACAGATAGAAACCTTAACAAGGAAGCTGTCTTGAGCACTGGTCAGAAAGAGTATTTTCTCAAGCGTGAACCTTTGACAAACCAAAGGAATAATTTGTGACAGTGACATAGGTTATTACTAATTATTTAAAGAGCAGTTCATTTTCATAGAGTGCTTGATAAACATTTCCTGTTCTGTCTTCCCAATTTCTCTGTAAAGAAGATGAATGGATCAAAACTGCTCTTATTTTTGAGGAGAGAAATATATTTGTTTTCCTCATTTAATTAAAGCAGCCACTATTATGTTTCTAAAAAGAAAAAACAGCACCCATTTTAAATTAAGAGAGAAAAAATATTATGAAACCTGTAAAAAATAAAACCAAAGACATGTGCAGAATCAATATTTTTGTTTACATTTTAATTTTATTATTATTATTATTTTTATTTTGAGATGGAGTCTCGCTCTGTCACCCAGGATGGAGTGCAGTAGTGCGATCTCGGCTCACTGCAACCTCCGCCCCCTGGGTTCAAGTGATTCTCCTACCTCAGCCTCGCAAGTAGCTTGGATTACAGGTGTCTGCCACCACGCCAGGCTAATTTTTTTTTTTTTTTTTTTTGTATTTTTAGTAGAGATGGGGTTTCTCCATGTTGGCCGGGGTGTTCTCGAACTCCTGACCTCAAGTGATCCACCCACCTTGGCCTCCCAAAGTGCTGGGATTACAGGCGTGAGCCACCGCATCCAGCCGTTTTGTTTACATTTTTATTACCAAAAACTGTTTTTTGAGTTTTCTCTTCTAAACTGAAATAGTCCTAGCAAAATATATGTAGTTAGCCGTCATTCTTTGCATTTTTTTATACATATGCCATAAATGACAACGATAATAGTAAGGTTTATTCATTTTACAAAATTGGTCAGGTTACGAGCTATTTTCTTCAGGACCCTAGTACCAAACTAAAAGCATTGGCTAAAATGCACCATGCAGTGGAAATACTCAACAGCATGCTGTAAAAACAAGTTTAGAGTAATCATCAAACTTTGCTCCTTTCCAAGAAGTACCAGGCTAAAGCCAACAGTCTTTCAGAAGGCCCTGAGAGTCAGCATTCTAGTACCATTTTGATCCCTTCTCCCCAGAACAGTCAAGTCAGGGAGCCTAACAAATGTGTTAGCCTTCTCAATATGAAATTCACTTAGGTGATACCGCAATGGTAAACATTTGAAAGTGTCTTTTCTGTTTCATTAGAGGAATAGACTATTCGTTTTCCATTTATAGCACTAGGCCAATGTAAGAGATTAATTTATTTGCTCAAAAAGTAGGTGACTATGTTTATAGGAATAATCCTAGCAGGATCTTGATTCTTTAAAGCGTTTTAACATTCTTTAAAACGTCTTAATAAGTAGCCTATTTAGGATGAATACACAATTCATGATGTCTATTTTTGACCTGGAAAACCAGCATTTTCATATGGTTCAAAATTTAAAAAAAAAACCTTCTATTTGTTACATAATTAATTTATATTGGCTATTTCTCACTTTATAAAGTCTGTAGGAATCTTCAAAGGCTGATGGATCCTATCAGTAGCCTTGTTTTTGTTTCATATTTGCTACTAAGACCAAACTAGTATTTTAACTTGCATGTTAATGAGTCATTGTTCATCTGCTCAAGCTATTTTAAAGGTGAGTGGCTTCCATTTACTTATTTTCACTTATATTTTCAAAGACAGACAATTCCAATTAAGAAAAAATAAAGCCTCCTTATTCCCATCCCTTTTACCTATTCATCAGACACAAATATAGTCTAAAATGTGAGTGCTCCTAGAAAGCACTAGTTGCTTCCCCATCTATGTACATGTCCACATCACATATCATTTCTTTATAATAGTTGCATAGTGTTACATTCATTAATCTTCATTTACAGCTTACTTTACTCTTCCCCTTTTAATGGAATGTGGGCTTCATTGGCAGTTCTTTTGTTGTTGTTTTGGTGGGTTTTTGAGTCGTTTGTGTTTAAGATTTTGCAATTTGTTTATTTATAGCCTTTGCCACGTTACCATTTGTTAATTTTGTCCTCTTTCATTTATAAAATATTGTTACATGGGATGCAAGTGATTTTTTTGCAACCCATTATTTGTCTTTTTAGTTTGATTGTGATATTTCTCATCATAAAAAAGGTTTCAGTCTTATTCTCAAATATTTTCATCATTTCTTCTTTTGTGACATTTGGGTTATATGTTTATCTCATTTTCCTCTGGTACTTTTAGAGGCTTTAAAAATATTTAGGACTCTATCATATATTTTTATCCATGGGGTATGAGATGGAAGAATTTTCTCACATAAATAAGCAAATTATTAATAACATGTATTGACTTCTCCGTTCTTTCCCTATTAATTTGAAATTTAGTCACATTGAATAGTAAATTTGCACACATAGATGTGTGGGTTTCTAGACATACTATTCTGTTGATATATTAGTCCATCTCATGTCAGCATCACCCCATTTAAATTATCTTGCTATTATGTCTTGTTTTGATTACTTACAGGATAATCTTCCTTTAATTTTTCTTCCTTTGTGAAATTACTTTGGCTCTTCATATGTACTCATTCTCCTGCATGGACTGTACAATCAGCTAATCAAAATGAGTTTAAAGATGAAACAGGAATGCTTCCACTGTGGGGGGGGGGTGTGTGTGTGTGTGTGTGTGTGTGTGTGTGTGTGTGTGTGTGAGAGAGAGAGAGAGAGAGCATGCACATTAATTATAATGTTTGCTATTGGCTTCTGATGGAAACATTTGATCAAGCTACATAAGTTTCTTTGCATTCCTAACTTCCTAAAAGTTTTTTGATTAAATCATTTATTTTTTTTAATCAAGAATGAATGTTTAATTTTAGTAAGTGATTTTAAGGCCCTTACTGGCTGATAATGTGGATTTTGTTCTTTATTCTATTAGTGAAATAAAAGTGAGTTAATTAATAGATTCCCCAATATTAAATCTTCGATTCTTTTTCAATGACTCTAAATTTTTCTCTTTACTTGCAAAAATGTTTATTGATTAACTACAGATATGTATATTAAACACTTCTTGAGATGGTTAACACATTATATGCTCTAAAATGTAGGTGTACAACTCTGATAACAATTTTACTCAGTGTCATTAATTCCTATATATACATTATAAGTATAATGTATATGTAGCCCTTTTGAGGCTGCTTTGCCTTGGGATTTTGTGGATACTTTTACTGGCATGCATGTGGTCACATTTAAATCAGAACAGAAATGATTAACATGATAAATAAAAGGAAATTTGTTTTTAAATAATTGCATGTAGTCATGCTAATTCAAAGGGGTTAGGGTGTCACTTAAGAGACTGGAGAGTGGATACTTCTGGGTTTTGGAGAAAATCAATCTTTTCCTACTAATTGTAGACTTTTCCCTATTTATTTAAATTACCAGAATTACTGTGTTCAGTCTGGACTCCTTTAATTTGTTCATAATTGAGCTTGTGTGGGTGTTGAGTTGGAAGCTCTCAGGAGCTGAATAACACAGCTGCCTCTTTGGCCTTTGGCATAGGGTTTTCCCCCAAAGAGCTGCCCTTGTTGGCAGTATGCCAGGAAGTTACATTCAAAGACTTTTTGATGAGGCATAAAAATCTTTAATTTCCAGGCTTGGTGTTTTATGACCCCATAATACTGTTTGAGAATTAGTCTGAATTATTCAAAAGATAGCACTTCAGTTTGTTGGCCCCCTTTGTTGACCTACTCTGTAGCCCCATTCAGAGTTAAGTTTAAAATGCTGTTTCTCACAAGATACTGTTTTTAGAGTTTTCTATCCTGTTTCACATTGGCCTCCCACGCCCATTTCAGAAGGGTGTTCTATAACACAGTTTGGAGAAGGCTAAGGGCAGTGCAAATGGAAGATGCTGGCCAGCTGCCCTGTTCAGTAAGAGGAAATGAGCTTAAAGTGATGCATGAGGCATTCAGACGAAATTTTAGGAAGTTTCCTGACAATGAAGATTGTTAACATTCCATGTCTCATAGTCTTTTAAGAAAGAGCATGTGTCCTGAAAAACTCTCCCTAAAATCAAGACGATAAATAGGTTGGCTGACTTCCTTTCAAGATTAGTGATTCACCAGTTTTATTTTCTGTTAGTTACTTGCTCTAATTTTTTTAAATTAGGAAATGTTTTTAGACACCCACAATTGAAGTAATTTATAAGCCAACTGAGTTCTCACATCTACAAAGGTAAATATTTGAGATACATTTTGAATATGAAACCTTTTATATATGTCAGATATTCCTCTTAGACAGTACATTTCTAGTATCAGCTCAAAGATGAGCATGAAAAAAGCCCCATTCTACTGCTCTAATACTTTCTTTTTAAGATTATATTCATATAGTGAGGTACTTCTATATGAATTATTGATAATAAAGACTGAATACATAGGATAATTTTTATAAAATTGTATATTCTAATAAGTGTGATGCTGGTTTGTATTAATATATAAAATATATTTTACTATTTTTATTTATATCCATGGATTTCTTTTATTGTCCACCAATAAGTAGTACCTCTGAATATAGTTAAAAGCTGAATTGGATATTACTGTTTGGGATACAACTTTGACTTAAAGAAAAGAACCTGTTTTGTAAAGAAAAATTAATGGTAATATTGTAAGAAAGTGTCTATTTGTATAATAGACAAGTATACAAAGATGAAGTCAGCTATATACTTTAAGCTCTAGTAAGTCAAAATAAAGGAATTATAGAGAATGTTCTTTCATTAAGTAAATGTTTATTAAGTGCCTACTGTGTGCCGGGAAGTGCATTAAACACTGGAGATGTGGTAAATAAATGAAAGAAATGGTGCTTGCTGCCTGTACCTAGATTAGAACCCCAACAGGAAAGAAAAGCTCAAGAGTTAAGGAAAAACTACCAAAAGGAAATTCTGACATTATGATAACTTATCTCAGGGAGGAAGAAAGGGAAGAGGCATCTGAAGACACTCATGTGGCTGCCTCAAGAACTCACTGATAACCTCGGCTATGTAGAAAAGAGGAAGAGAGAAGCAAATGATTAAAATATATACATATATGTACATTTTTACTGTGTGTGTATATACACATACACACACACACACATATATATACACACGCACACACGCACACACGTAGTAAAAATCTGAAATAATATATGCAGGAAGAGGTAAACAGCTGCATGAGAGGAGACTTGCAAAACCTAGTAAAAGTTAGACAGCCAAGCTATTTTTAAAGCATGAAAAAGAAAGTGTGCGAGGTGGCCCATTGTTTTAAACCCCTGCTAGATGTCAGGTGGAAAGCAAAGCCACTCAGTTCCTGTGTTAGTATTATCCTCATACATAGGAGAGAATGATGGTCAAACCAAAAAAGCATGGCTGCCAGGCAATGGAAAACTAGACAATTTACATCCCTGTGCACTAAAAGGCTTGTGATTATAAAGTGGCCGTCCCTGATCATCAGAAATTATGAAGAGTAGGCCTCACACTGGAAGACAAGGAAGCAAATGATCAATTTTCAGAAAGATAATGAATTCCAGAAACAACTGGTAATCTCAATGCTGATCATCAGATTTCCATGTTTGTGAAATTAAAAAAAAAAAAATGTGGTGGTCACCAGCAATCTCAATGGAGTCCTTGAAATAACTGGTGTCTCCTTTCCTTTTTGATGGGATTTCTAAACTGCTAAGTCAGGAAAATGTTTTACATATAGGTTATGTTGATGTTTATAAAAGTATTTCCATTTGTTTTCTTATTGAGACTTATGGGTCAAATTACATACAGAGGTAGACACAGCATTAAAATGTCCCTTCCTGAAATGTGCTAATTAATGTCTCATTGTCACCTTGGAGAAAATTAAATAACATATACCATAAAACGACATCTTTATTGTGTTCTGATAAAACTCAACAGAATTTGATGAAGATTGGATATAGGTAATTTGGCACATATCTAACTTAATATTTGTATACTTCCCTGTCTGTTATACAAAGCAAACAGACCTCTTTCAGTCTTAGTTAATTTTTCTTTACAAAACAGGATTTTTTCCTTAAAGTCAAAGAAGAGTAAAGAAGGAAAAGGCACTCTTCACAAATTTTCAAGAAATACCGTCTTAGAGAATTGGGTGATAGATTGACAGAATTAGCATTCAGATGATTTCTCCAGAATTGAAGAAGATAGAATTTAATAAAGAATGATGCATTCATTCAACAAGGATTTATTGACACTTACTGTATGCCAGGCAACATCCCAGGTAAATAAGACAAAGGCTGCAGTCTTACAGTGTTTTCATTCTCGTTATGTAAACAGATGGTAAAGATGTATACAGTGAATAAATAATAAAATTTCACATGATAGAGATTCAAATAGAAATGTTTTTTCCTAAAGCCAAATTCAGGTAGAGAGAATGACTGAGGGGACGTGAAGGTATTTTAGATGGGATAGTGAATGATAAAGGTTATGTCCTAAAGTCAGGTTAAAAAAGATTAATTGTATAAGTGTAGGATTTACGAGAGTGGGGATAGTAACTATTGAAGTAATCCCCTGGTTCTTAGCTGCTTGCCTGACACGGCCATCCCCAGAGCTAGTTCTGTGTTTTCAGATCAAAGGAGAAAACAGCTCCACTTTATTCTGGCCTGGTCATAACACATTTACAGTTCCATATTCAATTATGGGTACAATATTTTAATAACTACAAAGACAGTATAGAATGCAATCCAGATATTGGTGAGAGGCCTAGAAACCATGTTTAGTAAAAAACAGTTGAAAGAATAAAGATATTATGCCTGAAAGAGAGATGATTTGAGTCATAGGAGAGCTCTCCTCAAATATTTTCATGCAAATATTGAAAGACTCACATATGTTTAAAATTAATCAGTACCCCAGATACATCAAGCAATGATAATCACATCAGAAGATACATCACATTTACAAGTTTTGAAATCGAAAAGGATAACAGTGATGGAAAACGGAATTCTGGTTTATGGCATGTTTGGTATGAAAGGAAAAATATATAAATTAAAACAGCTCCTGAAGACTGAAAAGAGAAGCAGAACTCACCAAAATTATGAGAAAGAGACCATCATATATTTTTCAGTGTTTGACAAGGGATACAGGTTCTTTTTATTTTTTGTTAGAGTATTTTAATATGATTATGTCATTAAAACATATTATAGGGCCGGGCACAGTGGCTTACACCTGTAATCCCAGCCCTTTGGGGGGCCAAGGCGGGCAGATCACCTGAGGTCGGGAGTTCGAGACCAGCCTGACCAACATGGAGAAACCCTGTCTCTACTAAAAATACAAAATTAGCTGGGCGTGGTGGCCCATGCCTGTAATCCCAGCTACTTGGGAGGCTGAGGCAGGAGAATCGCTTGAACCTGGGAGGTGGAGTTTGCGGTGAGCGGAGATCACGCCATTGCACTCCAGCCTGGGCAACGAGAGTGAAACTCCATCTCAAAAAATAAATAAATAAAACGTATTATAATGTATATAGTTATATGTTTTAACTACATAACTGTATTATAATATGTACACAGATTATAACACTGTGTACATATTACACAGAATATAATTGTAGTGAGATGAATAGATGAAAAGTTGAATTTAGAGAACCTACCTGTCAGAACTCAGGCTGAATTCTTAGACATCTCTAGTGGTAAAAGACTTCAGATAGTTTCCAGCACCTCCATCCACGGCAGGCCTCTTTCAAAACATTAAGAAAACCAACATTTGGATTAACCAAAATTTAACATGTAATTATATTTTAGATGATTGCTACATTTAAAGTGAATTATAGACTATTAGTAGTAGTAACTGAAATGTAGAAATATAGATCACTATAATATAACTTGATCAATATTTCAGATGTAGCGGAATAAGGCAGATTCTGTTTAAAATTCATTAAAATAACCATTTGAGTTGGAAGCAAAGGTGTAAAAATGGTTCTCTATGTCAAGGACATGCTTTTCATATCCCTGTAAGTCTCTATCTATCCTTTCCTCCTGCTGTATTTTTGCATTCCCTAGGAAACATACTTTCAAGAAGAATTTGACTTTGTATTCATTCTTACTACTATTAATTGGAAAACAATATCTTTTGTGTAGGAATTGTACTTTTATAATGCTTCATATGTTTCTAGACTTGTCTAAAAGTTGTGGCAAATGCCAGGCCATCCCTGTCATACCCCTCCCATGACTAAATGCTCACAAATGCCATAAACTTAGCTGCACTCTTTTATAAGTTATTGAATGAGTGAATAAGAGGTACAACTTTCTCAAATGCCCCCATCTGAAACAGGAAAACATTCGGAGTAAGGATCATCCCTCTTACATAAAAACACTTAACCTAATGCCTAGAACATCCCTAATGCCTAGGGATTTGGTGGTGTCATTAGTAATAGTAGCAGTCATGGAGAGGGTAGTGTTGGTAGTATAATTAGAAATGAGCTTCTACATCTCCTACAAGTTTTTCTTATAATTAGTAGTGGACTTGAACAGTCAATATAAGTAAATTCTCCTAAAGTTAAGTATTATGAAATGCTGGGAGAAAAGTTAACCTGTGGATTTCATAGGTATATCCTTAAGTCAATAATGGGGCCACAAATGGTCTCAAATGTTGCCAGGCAGTTTTTCACTGAGTGTATTTTCTCAAGCTGGGGGCATGTTTAATGGAATATGTAGTTAATTTAAAATGTCACTGTCTCTAAGAGAAATGTAAGACTCTATTTCCCCAGAAGAGATACAAAAAAACTATAAAGTTTAGAAAACCTTAACCAATGATATTCTGCCAGTAACAAACCCACGCAGATTTTTACTAAATTGACCTCTGTGTACTTAGAACATTGTCTGTGCTCTGATTAGAAATTTTGGTCAATGGAAAAACTGCCCTATTCTTTAAAATTTAAATATTCTGGGCTCCTCTTAAAACTTGGATTAGAACATGAAGTGCTTTCTTCTTTTTATTTTGTACTGAGGCTCTGTATCTAGGATTCTAAGCCTTTTTTTTTTCACTTTTTATTTTTTTACTATACTTTTACTTTTTACTTTTTATTTTTTTACTATACTTTTACTTTTTACTTTTTATTTTTTTACTATACTATACTGGGATACATGTGGAGAACATGCAGGTTTGTTAAATAGGCACACACGTGCCATGGTGGTTTGCTCACCCATCAACCCATCATCTACATTAGGTATTTCTCCTAAGACTATCCCTCCCCTATGCTCCCACCCCCCAACAGGCCCTGGTGTGTGATGTTCCTCTCCCTGTGTCCATGTGTTCTCATTGTTCAACTGCCACTTATGAGTGAGAACATGCGGTATTTAGTTTTCTGTTCCTGTGTTAGTTTGCTGAGAATGATGGTTTCCAGCTTCATCCATGTCCCTGCAAAGTTCATGAACTCATACTTTTTTATGGCTGCATAGTATTCCATGGTGCATGTGTGCCACATTTTCTTAATCCAGTCTATCCTTGATGGGCATTTGGATTGGTTCCAAGTCTTTGCTATTGTGAATAGTGCCGCAATAAACATACGTGTACATGTCTCTTCAGAGTAGCATGATTTATAATCCTTTGGGTATATACCCAGTAATGGGATGGCTGGGTCAAATGGTATTTCTGGTTCTGGATCCTTGAGGAATCACCACACTGTCTTCCACAATGGCTGAACTAATTTATACTCCCACCAACAATGTAAAAGTATTCCTATTTCTCCACATCTTCTCCAGCATCTGTTGTTTCCTGACTTTTTAATGATTGCCATTCTAACTGGCATGAGATGGTATCTCATTGTGGTTTTGATTTGCATTTGTCTAATGATCAGTGATGATGAGCTTTTCTTCATATGTTTGTTGGCTGCATAAATGTCTTCTTTTGAGAAGTGTCTGTTCATATCCTTCACCCACTTTTTGATGGGGTTGTTTTTTACTTGTAAATTTGTTTAAGTTCCTTGTAGATTCTGGATATTAGCCCTTTGTCAGATGGATAGATTGCAAAAATTTGTTCCCATTCTGTAGGTTGCCTGTTCACTCTGATGATAGTTTCTTTTGCTGTGCAGAAGCTCTTTAATTTAATTAGATCCCATTTGTCAATTTTGGCTTTTGTTGCCATTGCTTTTGGTGTTTTAGACATGAAGTCTTTGCCCATGCCTGTGAGCTGAATGGTATTGCCTAGGTGTTCTTCTAGGGTTTTTATGGTTTTAGGCATTATTTTTAAGTCTTTAATCCATCTTGAGTTAATTTTTGTAAAAAATATAAGGAAGGAGTCCAGTTTCAGTTTTCTGCGTGTGGCTAGCAATTTTCCCAACACCATTTATTAAATAGGGAATCCTTTCCCCATTGCTTGTTTTTGTCAGGTCTGTCATAGATCAGATGGTTGTAGATGTGTGATGTTATTTCTGAGGTCTCTATTCTGTTCCATTGGTCTATATATCTGTTTTGGTACCAGTACCATGCTGTTTTTGTTACTGTAGCCTTGTAGTATAGTTTGAAGTCAGGTAGCATGATGCCCCCAGCTTTGTTCTTTTTGCTTAGGGCTGTCTTGGCTATATGGGCTCCTTTTTGGTTCCATATGAAATTTAAAGTAGCTTTTCCTAATTCTGTGAAGAAAGTCAATGGTAGCTTGATGGGGATAGCATTAAATCTATAAATTACTTTGGGCAGTATGGCCATTTTCACTATATTGATTCTTCCTATCCCTAAGCATGGAATGTTTTTCCATTTGTTTGTTTCCCCTCTTATTTCCTTGAGCAGTGGTTTGTAGTTCTCCTTGAAGAGGTCCTTCACATCCCTTGTAAGTTGGATTCCTAGGTATTTTATTCCCTTTGTAGCAATTGTGAATGGGAGTTCACTCATGATTTGGCTCTCTGTCTGTTACTGGTGTATAGGAATGCTTGTGATTTTTGCACATTGATTTTGTATCTGGAGACTTTGCTGAATTTGCTTATCAGCTTAAGGGGATTTTGGGCTGAGACGATGGGGTTTTCTAAATATACAGTCATATCATCTGCAAACAGAGATAATTTGACTTCCTGTCTTCTTAGTTCAATACCCTTTATTTTTTTCTCTTGCCTGATTGCCCTGGCCAGAACTTCCAATACTATGTTAAATAGGAGTGGTGAGAGAGGGCATCCTTGTCTTGTGCCAGTTTTCAAAGGGAATGCTTCCAGCTTATGCCCATTCAGTGTGATATTAGCTGTGGGTTTGTCATAAATCGTTTTTATTATTTTGAGATACATTCCATCAATACCTAGTTTATTGAGACTTTTTAGCCTGAAGCAGTGTTGAATTTTATTAAAGGCCTTTTCTGCATCTGTTGAGATAATCATGTGGTTTTTGTCATTGGTTCCGTTTATGTGAAGGATTACATTAATTGATTTGCGTATGTTGAACCAGCCTTGCATCCCAGGGATGAAGCCAACTTGATCATGGTGGATAAGCTTTTTGATGTGCTGCTGGATTTGGTTTGCCAGTATTTTATTGAGGATTTTTGCATCGATGTTCTTCAGGGATATTGGCCTGAAATTTTCTTCTTTGGTTGTGCCTCTGCCAGGCTTTGGTATCAGGATGATGCTGGCCTCATAACATGAGTTAGGGAGGATTCCCTCTTTTTCTATTGTTTGGAATAGTTTCAGAAGGAATGGTATCAGCTCCTCTTTGTACCTCTGGTAGAGTTCGGCTGTGACTTTGTCTGGTCCTGGGCTTTTTTTTGGTTAGTAGGCTATTAATTACTGCCTCAATTTCATAAAGACAGATATGAACTTTTTCTTATCACTTGCTTTTGTTTCCTAAACCATTGTTCATATTTAAATGAAATTCTGTGTTCCTTTTTTTTTTTCTTTTTTTTTTTTATTATACTTTAAGTTTTAGGGTACATGTGCACATTGTGCAGGTTAGTTACACATGTATACATGTGCCCTGCTGGTGCACTGCACCCACCAACTCGTCATCTAGCATTAGGTATATCTCCCGATGCTATCCCTCCCCCCTCCCCCAACCCCACAACAGTCCCCAGAGTGTGATATTCCCCTTCCTGTGTCCATGTGATCTCATTGTTCAAGTCCCACCTATGAGTGAGAATATGTGGTGTTTGGTTTTCTGTTCTTGCGATAGTTTACCGAGAATGATGATTTCCAATTTCATCCATGTCCCTACAAAGGACATGAACTCATCATTTTTTATGGCTGCATAGTATTCCATGGTGTATATGTGCCACATTTTCTTAATCCAGTCTATCATTATTGGACATTTGGCTTGGTTCCAAGTCTTTGCTATTGTGAATAATGCCGCAATAAACATACGTGTGCATGTGTCTTTATAGCAGCATGCTTTATAGTCCTTTGGGTATATACCCAGTAATGGGATGGCTGGGTCAAATGGTATAATAATGGGAGACTTTAACACCCCACTGTCAACATTAGACAGATCAACGAGACAGAAAGTCAACAAGGATACCCAGGAATTGAACTCAGCTCTGCACCAAGCGGACCTAATAGACATCTACAGAACTCTCCACCCCAAATCAACAGAATATACATTTTTTTCGGCACCACACCACACCTATTCCAAAATTGACCACATACTTGGAAGTAAAGCTCTCCTCAGCAAATGTAAAAGAACACAAATTATAACAAACTATCTCTCAGACCACAGTGCAATCAAACTAGAACTCAGGATTAAGAATCTCACTCAAAACCGCTCAACTACATGGAAACTGAACAACCTGCTCCTGAATGACTACTGGGTATATAACGAAATGAAGGCAGAAATAAAGATGTTCTTTGAAACCAACGAGAACAAAGACACAACATACCAGAATCTCTGGGACGCATTCAAAGCAGTGTGTAGAGGGAAATTTATAGCACTAAATGCCCACAAGAGAAAGCAGGAAAGATCCAAAATTGACACCCTAACATCACAATTAAAAGAACTAGAAAAGCAAGAGCAAACACATTCAAAAGCTAGCAGAAGGCAAGCAATAACTAAAATCAGAGCAGAACTGAAGGAAATAGAGACACAAAAAACCCTTCAAAAAATTAATGAATCCAAGAGCTGGTTTTTTGAAAGGATCAACAAAATTGATAGACCGCTAGCAAGACTAATAAAGAAAAAAAGAGAGATGAATCAAATAGATGCGATAAAAAATGATAAAGGGGATATCACCACCGATCCCACAGAAATACAAACTACCATCAGAGAATACTACAAACACCTCTACACAAATAAACTAGAAAATCTAGAAGAAATGGATACATTCCTCGACACATACAATCTCCCAAGACTAAACCAGGAAGAAGTTGAATCTCTGAATAGACCAATAACAGGAGCTGAAATTGTGGCGATAATCAATAGTTTACCAACCAAAAAGAGTCCAGGACCAGATGGATTCACAGCCGAATTCTACCAGAGGTACAAGGAGGAACTGGTACCATTCCTTCTGAAACTATTCCAATCAATAGAAAAAGAGGGAATCCTCCCTAACTCATTTTATGAGGCCAGCATCATTCTGATACCGAAGCCAGGCAGAGACACAACCAAAAAAGAGAATTTTAGACCAATATCCTTGATAAACATTGATGCAAAAATCCTCAATAAAATACTGGCAAAACGAATCCAGCGGCACATCAAAAAGCTTATCCACCATGATCAAGTGGGCTTCATCCCTGGGATGCAAGGCTGGTTCAATATACGCAAATCAATAAATGTAATCCAGCATATAAACAGAGCCAAAGACAAAAACCACATGATTATCTCAATAGATGCAGAAAAAGCCTTTGACAAAATTCAACAACCCTTCATGCTAAAAACTCTCAATAAATTAGGCATTGATGGGACGTATTTCAAAATAATAAGAGCTATCTATGACAGACCCACAGCCAATATCATACTGAATGGGCAAAAACTGGAAGCATTCCCTTTGAAAACTGGCACAAGACAGGGATGCCCTCTCTCACCACTCCTATTCAACATAGTGTTGGAAGTTCTGGCCAGGGCAATCAGGCAGGAGAAGGAAATAAAGGGTATTCAATTAGGAAAAGAGGAAGTCAAATTGTCCCTGTTTGCAGATGACATGATCGTATATCTAGAAAACCCCATTGTCTCAGGCCAAAATCTCCTTAAGCTGATAAGCAACTTCAGCAAAGTCTCAGGATACAAAATCAATGTACAAAAATCACAAGCATTCTTATACACCAATAACAGACAAACAGAGAGCCAAATCATGAGTGAACTCCCATTCACAATTGCTTCAAAGAGAATAAAATACCTAGGAATCCAACTTACAAGGGATGGGAAGGACCTCTTCAAGGAGAACTACAAACCACTGCTCAATGAAATAAAAGAGGATACAAACAAATGGAAGAACATTCCATGCTCATGGGTAGGAACAATCAATATCGTGAAAATGGCCATACTGCCCAGGGTAATTTACAGATTCAATGCCATCCCCATCAAGCTACCAAAGCCTTTCTTCACAGAATTGGAAAAAACTACTTTAAAGTTCATATGGAACCAAAAAAGAGCCTGCATCGCCAAGTCAATCCTAAGCCAAAAGAACAAAGCTGGAGGCATCACACTACCTGACTTCAAACTATACTACAAGGCTACAGTAACCAAAACAGCATGGTACTGGTACCAAAACAGAGATATAGATCAATGGAACAGAACAGAGCCCTCAGAAATAACGCCGCATATCTACAACTATCTGATCTTTGACAAACCTGAGAAAAACAAGCAATGGGGAAAGGATTCCCTATTTAATAAATGGTGCTGGGAAAACTGGCTAGCCATATGTAGAAAGCGGAAACTGGATCCCTTCCTTACACCTTATACAAAAATCAATTCAAGATGGATTAAAGACTTAAACATTAGACCTAAAACCATAAAAACCCTAGAAGAAAACCTAGGCATTACCATTCAGGACATAGGCATGGGCAAGGACTTCATGTCTAAAACACCAAAAGCAATGGCAACAAAAGACAAAATTGACAAATGGGATCTAATTAATCTGTGTTCCTTTTTAAAGAACTTTTGTTTTCATATAAGAACATCTTCCTAAAAGTATGAAGCTAAGGATGCTTATTCAAAGAATGGAACAAAATACTTAAGTTCTCCTTGCAAATATGAACCAAATCCATTTTAGTTTTTTGAAGTGAGAATTTCATTAGTTGAAAATGTTATATATAATGTGCAATTAAATATACAATTAATAATTAAAATATACAATTAAATAATTAAAAATATATGATATAAATATAGGTTAAATGAAGTTTAGCAGTTTCATAATTATCCCTTCTGAATATTTTGAATGATAAAATTTGTTATTGGCAATACTTTATGAAGTGATTAAAGACACTGTAAGGAGAGACAACTATCTGATTTTTAGATGCAGTAGTTGCAGTTTGTTCTTTAAAAAGCAAAATATAAAAAAAAATTAGAATGAATGAATAAGGCCTAGTATTTGATAGTATGACAGAGTGACTATAGTCAATAATGATTTAATTGTACATTTTAAAATAACTAAAGGATTACTGGATTGTTTGTAACGCAAAGGATAAATGTTTAAGGGGATGATACCCCACTTTCCATGATGGATTATTATGCATTGTATGCCTAGGTCAGAACATCTCATGTATCCCATAAATATATACACCTACTAAGTACACACAAAAATACAAAATAAAAAATTATCTTAAGGGATAAAACAGGGCCAGTCATGGTGGCTCATGCCTATAATCTCAGCACTTTGAGAGGCTGCGTTGGGAGGATCGTTTCACCCTGGGAGTTTGAGACCAGCCTCAGCAACAAAGCAAGACCCCATCTCTACAAAAAAAATTTTAAAAATAAATAAAATTTTTTAAAAAATAAAATAAAAAGAAAATCAGCTTTAGTCTTACATATTTTTATTCTCTTATATACCTACCTGTGTTCTTATATTCTAATTTTTCTCAAGTGATTGTACCAAACATATTTCTTTAAATTTGTATTAAAAACAGTCTAACCTAAACATTGTTCTCTGGATCTTTACTTCTACAACATTATCTTTTAGTTGTAAAGTTTACTCTGGAATAAATGTAGCGTGATTCACTTGACTAATATTATACTCTTTGCCATAAAAGTTGTTTCCAATTCTTCACTTCTAGAAACAGGAATGCATTGAGCCTGCTAGTACATCAACCTTTGTAAACAATCATGATTATGTTATCATTATAATTTCTATACGTGTACTCCCCAGCCAGATGATGTATTAAAGATATGAGGCTTTTGATTCATATGACCAGTTGCCCTGCAGAAAAGCAGTTTTGCTCGTATCAGCAGTATATGGAAGAATCTGGGTGTCATCATTTTTTTTTCATTTTTGCCAGTGTTATAGGCTTAAAAAGGTTATTTTATTTTACTTTTAAAATCACTTCTGTGGTTAAACCTCTCCCAGCTGTTTGACTGTATGTTTTCTATTGTGAATGATCTGAGCATTTCCTTTATAAGGCTGAAAATTTCTAAAGTAAATATCACTTTTTGGAATTAAAATGTTACTCTACATTAAAGATCAAATTTCAGCCCTTGCTCACAGGGGAAAATAGATACTTTGCTTTCATTTAAATGTTACCCTCTCTGAAGTACATGCTAATGAATACATTTGTGTCTTTCATTAAGTGTTCAGAAAAATGTTTAACTAAACATGAGGCAGAGGCAGAATTCAGATTTATTTATGATAAAACTGCTTAATCTGGGTCAAGTCAATTAATCTTTCTAAAAATAATTTATTTTTGGTTTTTCATCAGAACCCCAGAAGCCAATATACTTGACATACAGCAGTGCTGGCTGCTTTAGAGCATATTAGTACAAAGACTGGCATCACCATAAACACCTACTCTGCTTTTATAAGACTGAAAAGTGCTTGAAAATACAATTTCAGCTCCATGTGAATGTATGTATCCATACATACAATAGATGTATGGATGCGAAAGTCATCCATACATCTATTCCCTCCTTCCTTCATTCATCATTTATTGGGTGCACTGTCTATGCCAGGTAATGTTCCAAATATTTGAGACATATCAGTGACAACAGACAGTATCTTATTTCTGTAGCTTACCTTTCTTTAGTGGAAATACTCTCATGAACAAAGTTTGAGCGATGAGGTAAATAAACGATAATAACGCAATAAGTGAATAAAGTTGCTGGAAAGATATCCAGTAGGACAAACATAACACTACAAATTGTGGAAAGAGGAAACATGACTGGAAAGGCTAGTGTTTCAATACCCACTTGGTTTCTAGTGTTCATAAGAAAAGGTAACTAGCAACACTATCCAATGAAGGTATAAAAATTAAAGTGAAAATTAAAATAGAGATCAAATTGGAAACTGACTAATCAAGACTGATGGTTTTAAGTGGGCTGGGAATAAGCTAATCTGTCCTCTGCTGATCCAGGAACTAACTGGCATAATCCCCAGTCCCCAAACGCTTCAGAATTGTCTTGAAAGAATTGTGAGAGCCTGAAAAGGTTTCAGCTTGGAATTCCTTAAAAGTAAAACAAGGGGGTACCAATGAATTGGAGAACATTTAGCATGTTTTCAAAATTTGGAATAAATTATCATAGCACCCAAATTGAAGGAAAAATGAGTTCCATTAGAATTTTTTTATTTTCAGCTTTAATAAATAAGTAGATGTCAGGTAAATGATCTCAGTGCTTTCTCTGTACCCAGAAAGGCCAGAGGGAAATCTTAGGTGCCCAGTCCTCTCACTTGAGGCTAATAGTACCACCTTATCAAAGATTGAAGAATATATTTGTTAATATAAACAGTATTCACAAAAATGTCAGTGAAACTAACAGATTGGCGGTTTTAGTAGTGACTTTAATGATAAAAGTCTCGGAAATGCTGACAAAGTTAAACAGGCTTCTTAAATACGGGATTGCTCACAACCATTAGTGCATGTTTTGTACGTTTCCAGGCTTCAAGAATCTTCAGGATGTAATAAATGCAGCATTTCCCAAACTCATTTGATCACAGAAACTTTGAGTACAGACTATCTCATAGGTCTCATCCTTTGAGGAATGTCCTTAGCAAAGAAGATGTGAGTTTGCTTGTGAGATTTAAAGGTGATGTGCAACAGCCAGAGTAGGGTGAGGAAGGATTGCCAACAAGCTGGGACACGTGGAGCAATGCTGTGAAGTGGGGTGTAACCTGAGAGAGAATCTCCAGGGCAGAGAAGTGTCCACAGCCACTAAGCAAGTAGGAATTAACTGCAGAGCAGCAAGAATGAACAGGGCTGTAATCAACTAAGCATACATTAACCATGGACGGTGATGATAGAATGTAACTGACAGCACTGCAATATGCCTCCAAAAGAATGGCAAAAGAATGGTAAAGATAACCTCTGATGTTACTGATTATCTGTGGCCAGAAACCTTTGACTCTCTTTTACATATGGTAAAAAGATCAAGCCCTAATATTTAAGCTTCAGTGCCTATTAATCTAGAATATGAAGATTAAAAAGAGGAAAAGCATTAGTAGTAACTGTAATCTTCATAGCTGTATGTCAGGCATAGTTTTTTTGCACAGCAATTCCATCGCCATTTTACAGATGGGGCAATCAGGGCTTAAAGATGTTGACTTATATAAGATATCTCAGCTAGTAAATGGTGGGGCCAGGATTTGAACTCAGGCACATTTAACTTTGATGGTTGGGCTTCAGACCATTATGGCTGTTTCAAATAAGGCTTGTCAGTTTCCCAGTCTTAACTCAAAAACAGACGACCTATTCTCTCTCCACTCTTTTTTAAATTCTGTCTTTCATTCAGGACCCATTCAAATCTTGCCTTCTCTAGGGGACTGTCATTTTTTTTTTCCAGCTCCTTTTCTGAATTCCTAAAGCAGTAACTATTGGTTATTCAACTTCACAAGTAATTAAGAAAATTGAGATACTATATCTTAGCACAGAATGGCATACTCCTTTGATATTCTTTTGAGTGAGCATTTTTTTTCCCATTCCAATCAGGTTATAAGCTTCTACAGGTGATACTGTATACTTCTTGGGCACCTCCCTTCACCACTTAGCATGTGTAGGTGCCCACTAAATCCAAGATGAATGAGTGAATGAATAGTGTTGGAGCAATCTGGCTGCAATCTCAGAAACCCCGTGGACCACGATGATTGATTTGGCTCATCTTACTATCTGGGCAGGTTCCCTTTTCCTACATCAAAAGATTGAATAAATAAAAGTAGAAACAAATGATTAAATGACAAGTGAATAAAAGTGCAAATTAATGGTTTGTTTGAGTAGGAAAATAGAATGAGGATAAAGGTAGCCCAGAACATAGCACCATACGCTCATATTCACTTACCTGGTTTTGTCCACTTAAAAGGAAAGTGTTTGGGAAAGGCTGATAAAAATGAACGTATTTAAGGAAGGAACCAAACACAGGAAATAAAGAAGGTCAAAGGCTTCAATTTCATTAAATAAAGAAGAATGAAAGCAGTTGTTTAAAACTTGAAGAAAAGGGCTGTGTGCTTTATTTCCTAATTGGAGGAATCTATGAATAAATTAGGCAATCACTTGACATAATTGGTTTAGGTCATGTGAATTCACTTGCACCACAAGAGAGGGTAAATTAGATCAAATTGTTTGTGGCCCCTCCTAGTCTTCTGTTCATTACAGGCATTCTTTTTTCCTTTTGTATTCCTCTGTATCTTCCTTTTAGGTTTTTTGTTTGTTTTTTAATCTCAAGAAGTATGTGTTTTTATTTATATTATTTTAATGTATAAGATGTTTTTCCTTTTGGTTGCAGAACAGAGTAGAAGATAATATTCCTGTAATAAAAAAATTTGTGTGCTTCTTATTTATTAATCCCATTTTGATTTTTTCATAAAACTGTTTGCACAAAAATAACGTAGTCTGTACATAAACACAGTGCCATGGGAATTATATTCAAAACATGCTTGAACTGCTTGCTTTTACCTGAAGCAACATGAAATTGAATTACATTAGTATAGAGCAATTTGGTTGCATGTCACTTGTGGCAAATATTGTGTAAGCTGAATATTTAGAGATTTTGTTCACCTTGGGTCACACAGTATTAGTTGTCACGAAAAATACCCCAAGGTGATACCAAAAAAAAAAAAAAATCCTGACTCAAAGAAGACAATTGACTCAAAATAAATTGAGAATATTCCATTCCAAATGGTTTAAACACTTGGTACAGACCCAATGTAGCTTCATAATTTATGCAAATTTTTATCTGCAAAGCAATTTTTGTATTTAGGTTTAATCAAAGAGCTTAATAATGCAAGTACAATCTATTTACTGTCACCTCATATGCTAAGACAACTGAGAAACATTAAAAGGCCCTACGTTCGCATGACCCAGTTTGTACAGTAGCCAGCATAACTTCTTGATGTTGATGGATATGTGAGTTAACTCTAAAATGGGCTAAATTAACTAACCCATTAGATATCTAAATGTGTATCCCTTTAAAAAATAGTACTTACTTAAAGGGCTTATCCGTGACCAAGCTATAATTTAGAGATGTTGTTATATTGAAAATGTGGTCACAAAGTCATTTAAGGGCAAGAATTTCTAAAGGCGGCTCAGTCTAATTGTCCACCCCACTGGGAAAACTGATGATATGCTTCGTCATTAATGGATTGGGAATATCATATCTGTAAAAGAAGTTAATAGCCTTAAATTGTTGTTTAATATGTTATTACCATGCACTTTTCTAGGTGTGTTTTAGAAGGTTCATTTTAAAAATAAAATGCTGGTGTGTAAGAGAAATACTTGGAGAAGCTTATTTCAATGAAAAGAGAAAAATTTGTTTAAGTTGGAGAAGATATTTACTATGGATAATATATGTAAAACCAAGAAGTGATCCTAAGAGTTCACTTTGGATTACATTGTTCTTTTTTTTTTTTAATTCAGCAACATCCTGTAAAGTTACTTGATTTGGAAATGCCAACATTCTTAAAATAGGATTAAGAGACACTGCTTTAATAATCGCTCCCTATTATCCACATGTTCTTTGTCATTCAAGAGAATAAAGGAATAATTAGAAAATACTTGACAAAAGATTAACATCCTTAACATATGAAGAGCTCTTATAAATTATGGGAAAACAAATATTTCAATTCGGAATTGGAAAAGTATATGACAATTCACAAAGGGCAAAAGAAATTTATTTGGGACATAAATATGAAATATATTCAACCTCACAAGTAATTAAGAAAATTGAGATATTATATTGGCAAACATTGGCAAATGCTGAAATATATATGTTCCAGTGGTACAGAACATGCTTGTTGGCCATTTAAATGAATGCTGCTTTCTGTAAGGCAGAGTGGTAATTATATAGGCACCTTAACACTATTTTCATCTTCTACCCAGTAATTCTATTTCTAAAAATTATCCTACCAAAAAAATAAAAGACTTGACCAAGATGGAATATAAAAATTTTCCCTATAGTTAATTTTCCAGCAATAAGAGAATTAGTGAAATTATATAATATTAATCTAATCTATATAATACACTATTATGCAACTAATAGAAATCTTCAGAATGCTTCATGAAATAAAAAATGTTAATGGTAAAATGCCAGTTAAAAAAAGCAGAGTATACAATTATAGTAGTGTGTATGTGTGTGTGTATGTATATATATAATCATGTACGATGTAGTAACATTTCAGTCAACTGCAGACTGCATATTAGTCCCATGAGCTTATAACAGTCTATGTTTACTATATCTTTTCTATGTTTAGATTTGTTTAGAAACACAGATACTTACCATTAGGTTGAAATTGCCTATAGTATTCACTATAGTAACGTGCTCTATGGGTTAACAGCATAGGTACCATAGGCTAGGCCATATAGCCTAGGTGTGTAGCAGGCTAAACCATCGAGGTTTGTGGAAGTACGTGTTATGATGTTCACACAATGATGAAACTGCCTAGCAATGCATTTCTCAGAACCTATCTCAGTCATCTAGTGACGCATGGCTTATAAATCAAAGAAGAAAGTTTGGCAAAATGTTAATATTGACTTTCTCTTAGTGGAAGTTACGTGTATAATTTTTACTTTATTTTTTATATGTTTCTGTATATTTCAAATCTTTACCACAAATATGTATTACACATATAATAAAATCAATTGGCAGTATAAAACTAATTTTAAAATAGAATAAAAAAGCAGAAGCCTGTTCATGGTAAAAAGAAATGCAGATATTTAACTACAAAAAGGACAAAAGGGGTATGAAGTATGTTTAATGCTTACTTCGTATCATTGAGGACTTATCACCTGGAAAGACAAATAAGAATATTTATGGGGCAGAATGATGACATGTTTGTTAAGAGGTTTTAGGTCAACACAGAACAGTACTCTTTATCAGTTAAAATAGCATTAGCTACGAGCACATTCCACTGCAATGCTCAGGGATCCGTACCAAACTGTTGTTGTAAGCAGGAGTTCATTTGTCTTATGTAATGTGAAGCCTGAATAAGGCCAATCCAGGGTCTCCGTGAAGGTACCAGAGGCCTAGGCTCCTTCTCCTCTTCACTCTGCCACTCTTGACTTTCTGGCTCTCGCACCCATATTTGTCACTGTGGAGTGTACAGATGGCTTCTATGTCTTCAGCAATCACATCCATGTTTCAGGCAAAAAAAAAAAGTAACAGAAGGCAAAAGGGTACGCCAACATTCTTCCCTAATTCAGGAAATCCAGTATCAGCTAAGAAGTGCTGTCCAGCAAACTTCTACTCTTATTCATTGGCCAGGACTATCACATGTCACATACTGTCTAGCCAGAAAGTAGCTAGGGAAAACAGGGTTGTAGGTGGCATTGGATCAGTCAAGCTACATGTCTGCCATAGCCACCCAGTGTGTCTGTAAGTTTCTGGTCACTGCATGTGTGCAGAAGTGCACAGACAGCCTCATTAGTTAGGCAGAATTTCTGAGTTGCTTTAGATCTTAGTCCTGAGAGACTATTATTTTAATTTTGTTTTGACAGAATTGTAGAATAAGTAGAAAAATGATAAGAGAGCAATGTCCTGATTCTCTGTCCACTGCCAAAGTCAAGCTTGGCCAATTATATTTAAGCTGGAACAGAGGATAAGAAGTGAGAGTTGCTTGAGAGAATCATAGTACCATCTTCAAACAGAGAAGCTAGTGAAGGAACAAGATGCAGGAAGGAGACACCCAGAGAGAAGAATAACCAGAGAAGCTAGTGAAGGAACAAGATGCAGGAAGGAGACACCCAGAGAGAAAAATATAACAACAAATTACTATTTTTTCTTAATGTCTCTAACCTACTGGTTTTAAATTTTATATATATACACACATACATATATATATACACACATACATATACACATATATGTATGTGTGTATATATGTGTGTAGATAAGTATATATGTATATATATGTGTGCATGTATATATGTGTGTATATATGTATATGTGTGTGTATATATGTGTGTATATGTGTGTGTGTGTGTGTGTGTGTGTATATATATATATATATATATATATATTTTTTTTTTTATTTTTTTGAGATGGTCTCTCGCTCTGTCACCCAGGCTGCAGTGCAATGGTACAATGGCTCACTGCAACCTCCACCTCCTGGGTTCAAGCGATTCTTCTGCCTCAACCTCCTGAGTAGCTGGGATTACAGACGTGCTTCACAATGCTCAGCTAATTTTTGTATTTTTAATAGAGGTGGGGTTTCACCATGTTGGTCAGGCTGGTCTCGAACTCCTGACCCCATGATCCACCCACCTTGGCTTCTCAAAGTGCTAGGATTACAAGACATGAGCCACCACGCCCAGCCCAAATTTTCTATTTTTATGTCCTAAATTGTTGAAGCAATTCTTCTGATCGAAACAGGCAAGGGTTTTATTTTTCTTATGAGTCACTATAGGCACAAGGCCTAGAGCCTATAAGCTTTACAAAAACCTACTGAAGTATGTGAGATATGAACAAAATTATTGGCTGTAATGTATGAACATAAATCCAAGTGTGAAATTAATAAATGTTTATCCCTGAAATGGAAGCTTATGCCAATTTTAGTAATTATTACACTTAGAATTTATTATTTTAAAAAATATCAATTGCAAAAAGGTTACACTTTTGGTTTTTTTACAACTCAAAAGAATTTCTAAGTATGCAGAGAGATTGCTAAAAAAATCAGTCAATCTATAATTAACTCATAGGCAAATAATTGTAAATAGATTTTGTAAATCTCTTTCAAATTTTTACAGCAAAAATTTTATTTAATGTAGGAGGGGGATGGGGAGGAAGAGAGAGTAGCAGGAGAGAACACACTATGGGTACAGCCCATTGCTTTTACCTTTTCCCTCCCTTTATTATTTGCCTCTGAGATGTCCAAAGAAATCTCTGGTCTTAGGAAAAAAAGATTTTAAAAATTACTGCCTGTGGCTGGGCATGGTGGCTCATGGCTGTAATCCAAGCACTTTGGGAGGCTGAAGTGGGCAGATCACCTGAGGTCAGGAATTCAAGACCAGCCTGCCCAACATGGTGAAACTCCATCTCCACTAAAAATACAAAAATCAGCTGGGTGTGGTGGCACGTGCCTGTAATTCCAGCTACTCGGGAGGCTGAAGCAGGAGAATTGCTTGAATCTGAGAGGCGGAAGTTACGGTGAGCTGAGATTGCACCACTGCACTACAGCCTGGGGGACAAAGGGAGACTCTGTTTAAAAAAAAAAAAAAATGCTGCCTGTGAGGTCACTCTGGACTCTGGGTCTAGCCACTGTCTGTTTGTCCAGTTAATGTTTTCTATTAGCTCAACTTTGTTCGAGATTCTTAATATAACTCAATACTTTCCAAAAAGCTAGCAGATATTTAATATGTATGTGTAATCGCCTTTTCTGCAGAAAGGAGCGTGATTTAAGTGAGCTCATCTAATAGATCAGTATAAAATACCAGATGAGTTCACTAGAGTGTGTGAAGAACTTTGTGCATCCCATTTAAGTGAATGGTTGTGTGCTCTGAAATGAAGAGACAGCACATAAACCCCCAAAGTTAATAAACTCTAATAAACAATGAATCTGGATGACAACTTTTCAAAATCTATTACACAGTAGTAGCCCTGGTTTTGCACAGTTTGCATATTAAACAGATGATAGTAGATTCTGGGCAGAAATATAGACAGTATTATGTACTTCAATTCGTGCCAGAAGAGAAATTTTTTGATAGCACTTATTGTAGCCAAGAACAAAGCAGCTATACAATCCCCAGCCAGAAACCAGGTGCCAAAATTAATTCATGCAAGAATAAAATGGGTTGGCACCTTATGGTAAAGTCATAAGCTCTTGAGGAAATGCACAGGAAAGTTCTGGGTAGCTTGAGTTACTACGTCTTTATGGTTACTTCCATTCTGGGCTGGCTCATTAACTTTGCAATAAGAAATACCATGGAATGATCAGAAAATGTTTTCACCCAGCCAGGAAATCTCACAACCACAGGCAAAAGTGCCATGAAGAGAGCAGACATGGTTTTCAGTAATGTAAGCCCTGCACATGATTTGGATATAGCAGGCTTACTTGTCACGTTTGTAGGAGCCACATAACTTGGTAGGTTAGCAAATCACACTGGATGACAGAATCAGGATTCAAAAAGGTCTCAACAGGGAGAACTGTTGAGCCGCAATTCAGAAGATTAAATTTAATAGGGATGAATGTAAATTCCTGTATTTGGGTTCAAAAAAGGAAGCAACTGCTTCCTGCCTTACTCCCATCCAATTTATTTTCCACGCTGCAGCCTGGGTGATCATTTTAAAACACAAATCTGATCATGTCACTTCCTTGCTAAAAATCCCTTAACAACATCCCATTGCCCTGAGGATGAAGACAGAACTCATTAATGTGGTTTTTGAGATTCTCTATGACTGGCCCCTTCCTTTCTCTTCCGCCTGTTCTCTCTCCAGGCTCCCTCTCACACTGAGCACCCCAGCCAAATGGAAGATCTTAGGGTTCCTCATTTTAGGCTGCTTTTAGGTTCTCATGTTTTCTTTGCCCGAAACACATCTTCCCAATTTCCTATACATTTCCAGAAAAGCCCAATCCATGGGCTACTGTTAGGTGCCTCATTACCAACTTTCAAGGTTCTCTGACCAGCCTTTTATTTAACAAATATGTATTGAGTGCCTACTACATTTCAGACATGTTCTAGGCTCCAGAGATAAAACAGTGAACAAAGTAAAGCTCATGTCCACGTGAAGCTTATGTTTTCTTGGGGAAGATGCCAGGCAGTACCAAGTCTTTTGAAGAAAAATGGAGAATGATAAGAAGATAATGATGGACAGTCAGGGTTGGGAGGCCTGCTTTACATAGGGTGGCGATGGGAGGACCTCTCTGATAAGATGACATTTTTGGAGATAAGATCAAAGGAGGTCAGTGAACTTTGTGGCTATCTGTGAGAATAGCACCACAGTATGGAAAAGAGCATGTTCCAAAACCTTGAGGAGGGGCATGGTTTGCGTGTCCTAGGACTTGTGGTGAGGCTGGATTGGGTGAAGTACCCTGATCCAGGGCAGAGCTGTGCAGATGATATTGGAGGGGCTGCTGCACTCAGCCCAGGCAGGGCTTGGAAGCTGTGGAAGCCTTTGGATTTTCTTCTAAATGTGGTTGGAAGCTAACTGGGAGGCTTTAAGCAAGGGGCTATTATAATAAGATTTTTGTTTTGGTTTGGTTTTAGTTTTTAAATAATTACAGTAGCTTTGTTGTGGAAAATAGACCATAGGGACTAAATGCAGAGTCCCACAGATTAGTCAAGAGATGTTACATCTGTCAAGGTGAGAGCTGGAGGTAGCTTTGGCCAGGTAGGTTTGCTAGCACTTACTCCACTCTTTGTGATTACTTGTGTGTTAGAAGCCCTGCCAGTGCAGGGCTCAGGACTACCTTGCTCCTTTTACAACCTCAGTGCCTAGCATGGTGCCCGATGTACCACCGGCTCTCCGTAAACATTCATCGGATGGAGATGATCTGGTTTAACGGCAGTTAGTACGAAAAACGACTTCAGGATTTTTAGCTGACTGCACACAGTTGATGAGCCAGCAGTAGCCCGGTTCAGCTGCCAGGAAAGCTAATGCTGTCTTAGGTGGCATTAAAAACTTTGGTGAGGGTGTCAGTGAAAGGGAGATGTGGGTCCTAGGGTGCTCCATGCTGTTTATGCTACACTGGACTGTTGGCCTGATCCTACACTACTTTTTCCCTTGTATCTTCTTTCTAATAATGGCATATTTCAATCACGAGGCCACACACTTTGGATTCATCTGTGGTTCTTTCTGTTGCTTCATTACCATGTACAAACAATAAATTCTCTATGATATCACCTAGCACTGTCTCTCTCTCTCTGTCTGTCTGTCTCCGTCTCTGTCTTATTTTTCCCTTTTCCCCTGCTCTGACACAATGCCAACAGTAGTCCATGCCTGTCTTGGTAAAAGTTTCCAGGTGCGTGAGACTCTAAACAACTTATTATAACTCTTATTTCTGAGAGTATCAACAATTATTTTTAAAAACATTATATGCTGGACACATAGAGGGGAACAACACACTCTGGGGCCTATTGGAGGGTGGAGGGTAGGAGGAGGGAGAGGATCAGGAAAAATAACTAATGGGTACTAGGCTTAATATTTGGGTGATGAAATAATCTGTTCAACAGACCTCTATTACACAAGTATACCTAGGTAACAAACCTCTACATGCGCCTCTGAACTTAAAAGTTGAAAAAAAAATCCCAGTAATTTTCTCATGAAAAATACCCAGAAAGTTAATGAACTATTAGACCTTCCAATATAAAAAAAAAAAAAGAAACACATATGCTGTTTCATATAGGTTGGTATGAAATTCTACTTTAGTAGATAGTGTTAAGTAGTAGAAATATGTAGTTCTTTATGGCAAAGTCATTAGCAAAATCTTCTCAAAGTCACACAGTAGAAGGAATTTGTGCTTTGAAGTCAGGAACCCTTCAGATCCCTGCTGTTCCACGTACAAACTTTATGTCATAACCCTTCTTAGCCTAAGTTCCCTCCTCTGTGAAATGAAGATAATAAAACCCAACTCAAAGAGTTTTTGTAAGGATTAAATGAGATAACACATATTGAAATGCTTACCATGATTTCTGACACATGCTAAATTGGTAATAAGTTTTCATTTCCTTCCTATCTGTTAAAAAAGGGGTCACTAGACAATGTGAAAACATACATTATAAATAGTGGAAACAGAGGTGTGTTTTCCATCAGTTAATAGTGAATAATGGCCGTTTGCCTTAAGGTAGCCTGTGCCCCTTTTATTGATGGTTTAATGAATATCAATTTCTTGCTGATAGCAGAAATATTTGTCAAAGGTCTGAGAATCATGAAAGCTTTTACAATTTGAGTGGTAAACATAGTCCATCCCTGACAGATTCCAGAAATGAGCAGAGAATGAGGTTTCCTAGGAGCAATCTTGCACAAATAGTCTTTTCTCTGTGTCAGGTGGGAAAAAAAAAAGATGGAGCAGAGACTTCATAGTATCGTTGTAAACTGTAACTGTTTATTTTGTAAAGATGAGTAAAATGCTATCTTTGCCTTCATTGAGGTTGTCCATAAATCAGTGTAGTACAGAGTAGAAAGTGGTACGTATTCTTGGAGGAAATGCTAAAGTGTTCTGAGGCAGGATCGGGAGCAGAGATGGAGAGAATATTCTAGGAAGTACAGGTCCCAGAAGGAGTAACAGTGCAGCATCTAAACATGTGAGATCAGCGGCATTTTCAACAAGAGATAAACACAAATGAGAAAAAAACAGGAATCACTCTATGTGACTTGAAGATGAATAGAGGATAATATAATGGAAAAGGTAAAAAGGGTACAAATCTGGGATACAAAGATAAAGAGAATATTATTCATAGGCAGTGAAATATTAGTGAAGGTTTGGAGTAGCTTAGAAAAATTATGAAAGTGATGTTTAGCATGGATGAATGTTGATGTGGTAAATAAGATGAGTAGTAGAGTTACAGAGACAGAGGTGGGTCAAGAGCAAGTTGGAGGCAATTGCAAAAATTCAGCCATGGAATAACAAAAGCCATAGGTCCAGGTATGAGAATTCTTGAAAGGAAGACCTGACGGCTGACTGGCTGTGACTGCTGCTCATGAAGACAGCATGTATGTTGTCAGGACAGGAGAATAACCCTGAGCCTAGATATGGTTTCTTTTCAGTCTGCCCACTCAGCTGCTTTCTTTTTATGGTCCTGTATTCAAAAAAACCAACCAACCAACCAACCAACCAAATAAAACTTGCCTGTTCTCAGCAATGATTTCATAATATCCTTATGTAGGAAAGAAGTAAGTGATGAGACCTCCAAAGGATATTGTCCTCAGCCACTGATCACATTCTTAGCTTAGTGTTCTTCCATTATGTTTCCTTTTAATTTTGTAGTTATGTGATAAGTATATATTTATGGGGTACATGAGATGTTTTGATACAGGTGTACAATGCATACTAATCACATCAGAGTAAATGGGGTGTCCATCACATCAAGCATTTATCCTGTCATTGTATTACAAACAATCCAATTATACTATTTTAGTCATTCCGGAGGCTGAGGCAGGAGAAATGGCATGAACCCAGGAGGTGGAGCTTACAGTGAGCCAAGATCACACCACTGCACTCCAGCCTGGGTGACAGAGTGAGACTCCATCTCAAAAAAAAAAAAAGAAAATAAATGGGCCAGGCACGGTGGCTCACACCTGTAATCCCAGCACTTTGGGAGGCTGAGGCAGGCGGATCATGAGGTCAGGAGATTGAGACCATCCTGGAGAACATGGTTGAAACCCCGTCTCTACTAAAAATACAAAAAAATTAGCCGGGCATGGTGGCAGGTGCCTGTAGTCCCAGCTACTCGGGAGGCTGAGGCAGGAGAATGGTGTGAGCCCAGGAGGTGGAGCTTGCAGTGAGCGGAGACAGCACCACTGCACTCCAGCCTGGGCCACAGAGCGAGACTCCGTCTCAAAAAAAAAAAAAAAAAAGAAAGAAAGAAAGAAAAAGAAAAAGAAAAAAAAAGTACAATAAATTATTGTTGACTGTAGTCACCCTGTTATGCTATCAAATACTAGATCTTATTCTGACTATATTTTTGTGCCCATTCATCATTCCCACTTCCCCACCGCCACTCCCCAGAAGCCCCCCGCCCCCAACCCCCCAGCACACACTAGCCTTCCCAACCCCTCTGGTTATCATCATTCTATTCTCTATCTCCATGACTTCAGTTGTTTTAATTTTTAGATCCCACAAAAAAAGTGAGAACATTCAAAGTTTGCCTTTCTGTGCCTGGCTTATTTCATTTAACATAATGACCTCCAGTTCCATCCATTTGTTGGAAAAGATAGAATCTCATTCTTTTTTATGGCTGAATAGTACCTGATTTTTTTTTCTTTTCTCATAATTTTTTATTCCATGGGTCGAAAGAAAAAGAAAGAGATAATTATTTTTGCCAACCTGGAACTGGCCATTCAAGCCAACATGCTTGAAACTTTCTTTTATCTTCCATAACCATATTTTTTTCCTATTTTTTATTATACTTTAAGTTCTAGGGTACATGTAGTACCTGATTATTTATATGTACATTTTCTTTATTCATTCCTCTGTTGATGGACAATTAGGTAGCTTCCAAATCTTGGCTATTGTGAATAGTGCTGCAATAAACATGGGAGTGAAGATATCTCTTTGATATACTGATTTCCTTGCTTTTGGGTATATACATAGCAGTAGGATTGCTGGATCATATGGGAGCTCTATATTGAGTTTTTTAAGGAACCTCCAAACCATTTTCCATAATAGTTGTACTAATTTACATTCCCACCAACAGTGTTTGAGGGTTCCCTTTTCTCCACATCCTTGCCAGCATTTGTTATTGCCTGTCTTTTGGATGAAAGCCATTTTAACTGGGGTGAGATGACATCTCACTATAGTTTTGACTTGCATTTCTCTGATGATCAATGATGTTGAGCACCTTTTACTATACCTGTTTGCCATTTTTATGTCTTGAGAAATATCTGTGCAGATATTTTGTCCATTTTTAAAATCAGATTTTTAGATTTTTTTCCTCTGGAGTTGTTTGAGCTCTTTATGTATACTGTTTAATAATCCATTTTCAGATGGTATATTAGTCTGTTCTCACTCACACTGTTTTAAAGAACTACCTGAGACTGGGTAATTTATGAAGAAAAGAAGTTTAATTAACTCATAGTTCTGCAGGCTGTACAAGAAGCATGACTGAGTGGCCTCAAGAAACTTACAATCATGGCAGAAGGCAAAGGGGAAGCAAGCACATCTTTACATGTCAGACCAGGATAAAGAGAGAAAAGGGGAAAGTGCCGCACACTTTTAAACAATCAGATCTCATGAGAGCTCACTAACTATCATGAGAACAAACAGCAAGGGGGAAATCCACCCCCATGATCAAATTACCTCCCACCAGGTCCTTTCCCCAACATTTGGAATTACAATTAAACATGAGATGTGGGTGGAGACACAGAGACAAACCATATCAGATGGGTAGTTTGCAAATATTTTCACCCATTCTGTGGATTGTCTCTTCACTTTGTTCACTGTTTCTTTTGCTGAGAAGCAGCTTTTTTTGTTTTGTTTTATGAGACGAATTCTCATTCTGTCACCCAGGCTAGAGTGCAATGGCACGATCTCAAGAGTCTCGTTGTGTCACCCAGGCCAGAGTGCAGTGGCACAATCTCTGCTCACTGCAAGCTCCGCCTCCCGGGTTCACACCATTCTCCTGCCTCAGCCTCCCGAGTAGCTGGGACTACAGGTGCCTGCCACCACGCCCGGCTAATTTTTTGTGTTTTTAGTAGAGACGAGGTTTCATCGTGTTAGCCAGGATGGTCTCGATCTCCTGATCTTGTGATCCGCCCGCCTTGGCCTCCCAAGTTCTGGGATCACAGGCATGAGCCACCACGCCCGGCCAAAAAAGCTTTTTAATTTGATGTGATCCCATTTGCCCATGTTTGCAGTTGGTTGCTTGTACTTGTGGAGTATTACTCAAGAAATCGTTGCCGAGTCTAATGTCCTGGAGCATTTCCCTGATGTTTTCTTGTAGTAGTTTCATGGTTTGGGGTTTTATATGTAAGTATTTAATCCATGTAGATTTGATTTTTTTTTATATGGTGAGAGATAAGAGTCTAGTTTCATTCTCCTGCATATGAATATCCAGTTTTCCCAGTACCGTTTATTGAAGAGACTGTTCTTTCCCCAGTGTATGTTCTTGGCTTATTTGTCAAAAATAAGTTCATTGTGGATATATGGATTTCTTTCTAGTTTCTCTGTTCTGTCCCATTAATCTATGACTCTAGTTTTATGCCAGGATCATGCTGTTCTGATTACTTTAGCTGTGTAGTATAATTTGAAGTCAGGTAATGTGATTCCTCTAGTTTTGTTCAGTTTGCTCAGGATGGCTTTGGCTATTCTGGGCCTTTTGTGATATGACATAGATTTTAGGATTGTCTTTTTTTCTGTTTCTGTGAAGAATAGCCAAAGCCATTCTTTCTTAATTGATCCACTGGTCATTCAGGAGTGTATTGGTTAATTTCCATGTGTTTATATTTAGTTTTCAAAATTTATGTCTTTACTGATGTATAGTTTTATTACATTGTAGTCAGAGAATATACTCGATATAATTTCAGGGTTTTTTTTTTGCATATTTTAAGACTTGTTTTGTAGTCTAATGTGTGGTCTACCCTTCAGAATGATCTACGTGCTTAGGAGAAGAATGTGTATTCTGCAGCCATTGTGGGAAATGTTCTATGAACATCTATTTAGTCCATTTGGTCTATAATAGTGAGATTAAATCTGATGTTTGTTGATTTTTCTGTCTCGATGATCTGTCCAATGCTGAAAGTGAAGTGTTGAAGTCTCCAGCCATTATTGTATTGGGATCTCTCTGCCTCTTTAGCTTTAGTAATATTTGCTTCATTTATCTGGGTGTTCCAGTGTTGGATGCATATACATTTATAATTGCTATATCCTTTTGCTGAATTGAGCCCTTTATCATTATATAGTGACCTTCTTTGTCTCTTTTCATAATTTTTGCCCTGAAATCTATTTTGCCTGATGGAAATATACCTACTCCTGCTCTTTTTTAGTTTCCACTGGGATGGGATATCTTTTTTTATCTATTTATTTTCAATCTATGTCTGTCTTCTTAGGTGAAGTGTATTTCTTATAGGCAACAGATTATTGCATCTTTTTTTTTAAATCTATTCAGCCACTCTGTGTCTATTGATTAGAGAATGTAGTCCACTTACAATCAATTTTGTTATTGATAAGTAAGGTCTTACTCTTGCCATTTTGTTATTTGTTTTCTGGTTGTTTTGTGGTCTTCTCATCCTTCTTTCATTCCTTCCTATCTTACTTTTAGTGACAGTGATTTTCTCTGGTGGTATGATTTAATTTCTTTCTTTTTCTTTTTTGTATATCCGTTGTATGTTTTTGATTTGAGGTTACCATGAGGCTTCCAAATACTATCTTATAACCCACTATTTTAAACTGATGACAACACTGACTGCATAAAGAAACAAACTAATAAACAGGCAAAAAGAAGACTAATGAAAATTCTGCACTTTAACTTCATCCTCCTGCTTTTTAACTTTTGATTGTTTCTGTTTATATCTTATTGTACTGTGTATGTCTTAAAAAGTTGTTGTAGTTAGTATTTTTGATCAGTTTATATTTTAGTCTTTCTGCTCAAGGTAAGAGTAGTTTACATGGCACAATTACAATGTTTTAATATTCTGTGTTTTTCTATGTACTTAACATTACTAGTGAGTTTTGTACCTTCAAATAATATCTCATTGTTCATCAATGTCCTTTTCTTTCAGATTGAAGAACTCCCTTTAGCATTTCTTGTAGGACACATCTGGTGTAGATGAAATCCCTCAGGTTTTGTTTGGGAAAATCTTTATTTCTCCTTCACGTTTGAAGGATATTTATGCCAGATATACTATTCTAGAATAAAAAGCGTTCTTTTTTTCCTTCAGCAGTTTAAATATATCCTGTCACTCTCTCATGGCCTGTAGGGTTTCCACTGAGAAGTCTGCTGCAACACTTACTGGAGCTCCATTGTTTATTATTTGTTTCTTTTCTCTTGCTGCTTTTGGGATCCTTTCTGTATCTTTGACATTTGAGGATTTGCTTATTACTTGTCTTGAGGTAGTCTTATTTGGGGTAAATTTGCTTGGTGTTCTATATCTTTCTCTTGGTTTGGGAAATTATCTGTTACGATCCCTTTGAGTAAAAAAATTTACCCTTTGGGTAAATCCCTTTTACCCCTGTCTCTCTCTCTGCCTCCTCTTTAAGGCCAATAACTCTTAGATTTGCTCTTTTGAGGCTGTTTTCTAGATCTTGTAGGTGTGCTTCATTGTTTTTTTATTCTTTTTATTCTCTGACTGTCTTTTCAAATAGCCTGGCTTCAAGCTCACTGATTCTTTCTTTTGCTTGATCAGTTCTGCTGTTAAGAGAATCTCATGCATTCTACACTATGTCAATTACATTTTTCAACTCCAGAATTTCTGTTTGATTCTTTTTAATTATTTCAGTCTCCTTGTTAAATTTATCTGATAGGAGTCTGAATGACTTCTCTTTGTTACCTTGAATTTCACTGAGTTTCCTCAAAACAGCTATTTTGAATTCTGTATCTGAAAGGTCACTTATGTCTGTCTCTCTGGGTTTGGGTCACTTGTGCCTTATTTAGTTCGTTTGGTGAAGTCATGTTTTCCTGGATGGTCTTGAGGCTTGTGATTGTTTATCATTGTCTCAACATTGAAGAGTTAGGTATTTATTGTAGTCTTTGCAGTCTGGGCTTGTTGTACCCATCCTTCTTGGGAAGGTTTTAAATCGGTTCTTGGGGTCATCAATTCCACGCTTTGGCTCTTCAAGGGAATTGAGTGTTGTGACCTTAATCTTCGGCCCCTGCAACCATAACTGCATTAGGGGGCACCCCAAGCCCAGTAATGCTGTGACTCTTACAGACTTGTAGAGGTGCCATGTTGGTGGTCTTGGATAAGATCTGGGAGAATTAATTCCCTGAAATTACCAGGTAGTGACTCTGCTCTCTTCCCTTATTTTCCCCCAAACACATAAAGCCTCTCTCTGTGTGCTGAGCCACCTAGAACCGGTGTAGGGCTGACACAAGCACCCTGTGGCCACTACGACTACCACTGGTACTGTTTGGGGTCAGACCTGAAGGCAGCACAGCACTGGGTCTCTCCCTAGGCTCACAGTAACCACTGCCTGGCTACCACCTACATTTGCTTAGGACACTAGAGCTCCGCAATAAGCAGGTGGTAAAGCCACCCAGGCTTGTGTCCTTCCCTTCAGGACAGCAAGGTCCCCCTGGCCTCGAGTGAGTCCACAGATGCCGTCCAGGAGCCAGGGCCTAGAGTCAGAAACCTTAGATGTCTACCTGGTGCTCCATTTTCTTGAGTCTGAGCTGGCACCAAGCCCCACTTTTCCCTCTTCTTTCCACAAGCAGAGGACTCTCTCCCCACAGCCACCACCACCACGTCCATGGCAAGTACTGCCTGTCTACCACTGATGCTCATTCCAGGTCTAAGGACTCTTCAGTCAGCTCATGGTGAATGCTGCCAGGCCTGGGACTCTCTCTTCAGGGCAGTGGGCTCTCCTCTGGCCCAGGGCAGATCCAGAGATGCTGTCTAAGAGCCAAAGTGTGGAATTGGTGATCCCAAGAACCCGCTTTGTGCTCTATACCACTACGGCTGAGCTGGTACCTAAGGTGCAAGACCAAGTCCCTCTCCTTTTCTCAAGCAGGAGACCCTCTCCGTAGCCACCATAGTTGGGAATGTGCTGGGCCATACCATAAGTTAGCATGTCTCTGAGTCTCACCCAAGACCCATGGCAAGTACTGCCTGGCTACTGCTGCTAATTATTCAGGACCCACATTTTCTTTAGTCAGCAAGTGATGAATCCTACCAGGTCTGGGTTCTCCCCTTCAAAGCTGCGAGTTTCCTTCTGGCAGAGTGTGTGTCTGGAAATGTCATCCAGGAGCTAAAGCCTAGAATGGGGGCCCCAGGACTCTGCCCAGTGCCCCCTACTGTGGTAGAGCTAGGATTCAAGTTGCAAGATGAAGTCCTCTTAACTCTTCCCTCTTTTCTCCTCTAGCAGAAGGCAGGAGTCTCTCCTGGAGCCGTGAGCTGCACTGCCTGGGGTTGGGGGAGGAGTGGTGCAAGCACTGCATTAGCCGCCCAACGGCTGTCTCACTAGGTTATTACCCCCCAAGTCCACTTACTCCAAGCCCAGCACAGCATCAAGACTTGCCCAGTAATTGCAGTCCTTAGGGCCTAGACTACCTTTCAAGTCTGTTTAGGACCCCAGAGCGCTTTAGCCTGCAGTGCCAAGGCTTGGCAGAACTCAGGTTCTGACTGCTGGGATGGGCAATTTCCCTCTGGCTAGGGCTGGTCTGAGTGCTCCCTCCATGGACTCTGGCTGTGTTCTGCCTGGTGTTGCTTTCCACCATGACAGGGTGGAAAGCACTGAGTTCCAGTGCAAAGTCTCCAATCACTATGCTCTCCCTCCCCAAGGTGCACAGATTCTGTCTGTACCATGTGTCTTCTTCAGGGGAGTGGAGGACGTGGGAGTGGTGGTGTCAGCAAATCAAGACTGTCTTTCCTATCCCCTTCAGTGCCTTTTTCAGTGATATGAAGTAAAAGTGGTTACTGTGATCACTCACCTGATTTTTGGTTCTTATGAAGGGGCTTTTTCATGTGTCTAGTAGTTCAATTCGGTGTGCTTGTGGGGAGGATTATCAGTGGAAGCTTCTATTTGGCTCTCTTACTCCTCATTACGTTTTAAGACTTAAGTGGTCTTAGGGCCATTGGTTGTATGATTTAGAAGGCTGTAGTTATAAGAATAAAGATGTTTCATATGTTAAGTAGATTAACTATTTTTTTTTTTTTTTGAGACAAGGTCTCACTCTGTTGCCCAGTCTGGAGTACAGTGGTGCAATCATGGCTCACTGCAGCCTCGACCTCCTGGGCTCAAGCAGTCCTCCCACCTTAGCCTCTTGAGTAGCTGGGACCACAGGCACATAACACCATGCCCAACTAATTTTTGTATTTTTTTTTTTTTTTTGTAGAGATGGGGTTTTGCCATGTTGCCCAGGCTGGTGTCAAACTTCTGGACTCAAGTGATCCACCTACCTTGGCCTCCCAAAGTACTGGTATTACAGATGTGAACCACTGCACCCAGCCAGATTCACTATTTTTAAACTTATTTCTGGAAAATTAATACCATACTATGAAGCTTGATGTAAAATTAATATCACAGTTTTCAGTTATTGAGTCTAAGAAATGGAGCTATGAGTCAGGGAAAGCAAGGGGGTTAGAGTGTACAGAGAAACATACCAGAGAAGAGAGATCTGCATAGCGTGAACTCCACGTATAGTTGGAGGGTTTTCCTTAAGTATTGCACAGAGTATTCATCAGAGCATGCATGTAGGGAACTACCAAGGCTAGGCCAAAAGGATTCAAGAAGCAGTACCCAGAGCACACTCAAGAGTGAGACCAATGTTTGTTCCCACCCACAAGATTGGAGAAAATATCTCATAATCCGTAGGACATTGGATAAGGTATGCAAGAGGCCATTGCCTCTGTTGTACAGCACAATCAGCATAGAGTAAATGCTGCTATAGTCCTGCCTAGCAGATCATAAAGGCAAGACTCAAGAGGATCACTCTTTCCAAGTAACTATATTCCAATGACATTTTAAAAAATTACAGGAAGGGCTAAGCACAGTGGCTCATGCCTGTAATTCCAACATTTGGGGAGGCAAAGGTGGGAGGATTGCTTGAGGCCGAGAGTTTGAGACCAGCCTGGGCGATATAGTGAAACCCCTACGCACACACACAGAGTGTAAATATTAGCCAAGCATAGTGGCACACACTGTAGTCCTAGCTACTTGGGAGGCTTGAGGCCAGGAGTTCAAGGTTGTAGTAAACTGTGATTGTGCCACTGTACTCCAACTTGGGTAGCAGAGCCAGATCTTATCTGTAAAAAAGTTTTAAATACAAAAAGTGTATTTAAAATTACAGGAATATATATGACACAAAAAGGTAAAATTTCTAATATCTGGAATCCAATAAAATATTAATATGCATGTAAAGAAATAAGACATATAATAAGGAAAAAAATTAGTTAAAACCAGAACTGACACAGATGTTAGAATTAGCAGACAAAGACATTTAAATTATTATAGTTGTATTTAATACATTCAAAAGCCAAAGGAAAATTGATCATATTAAGTATAGCTATGGAAGATATAAAAGAAGACCCAAATCAAATTTCTAGAAAAGAAAAGTTTAATATCTGAGATGTAAAATACTCTGGATGAGAGTAACAGCAAATTAGACATTGCAGGAAACCAGACAAGTGAATATGAATACACACAGTAGAAATATACAAACTGAAAGGAAAAAGACACACAGAATTGAACAGTGAATTGTGGGGCAACTTCAGGTGGTTTCAGATACATGTAATTGGATTCACCAAATGAGAGAAAAACAGGGACAGAGAAAAAATATCTGAGAAAACAATGGTCAACATGTTTTCGAATGTAATGAAATCTGGAAACTCAAATTCATGAATCTCAAATGAACCTCTAAGTACAGACACAAAAAATGAGGAAACCACACCAAGGCACATTATAAACAATTTGCTGAAATCATGGTTAAAGAGAACATCTAAAAAACAGGACGACACATTTCATACAGAGAAAAAAAGAGGAACAGCAGCAGATTTCTCACAGGAAAAATACAAAGGTGTCATCGTGTAACAGTATCTTTAAAATATTGAAAGAAAAATACTATTCAACTAGAATTCTTTAACTAGCAAAAATATTTTTCTAAAACAAAGAATTTTCCAGAAATACAAAAGTTGAAAGAGTAAATCACCAACAGGTACACTATATGACATGTTAAAGGAAGGCTTTCTGGTAGAAGAAAAATGGTACCAGATAAAAATATGGATCTACATAAATGAAGATAATCAGAAATTATAATTACTTGGATGAATGTGTTTTAAAATTTTCCTTATTTAAATATAAGGTTAATTGTTTAAACAAAAATAATGACAATGTAGAATGGGGTTTTTAAGACATATAAAAATATATTATTTTTATATGACAATAACAGCACAGAGGCTGTGAGGGGAGACATTGAAATACAGATCCCTCTCTATTTATGATGGGGTTACGTTCCAATAAACCTATCATTAAGTTGAAAATAGTATAAGTAAAAAATGTGTTGCTACCAAACATCATAGTTTAGCCTAGCCTGCCTTACATGTGCTCAGAAAACTTATATTACCCTACAGTTGGGCAAAATCATCTAACACAAAGCCTATTTTACAATATACTGTTGAAAATCTAATGTAAGTTATTAGATACTGTACTGAAAGTGACAACAGAATGGTTATGTAGTTACTTAAAATATGTTTCTACTTAATGCATATGACATTGCAAAGCCAAAAAATCATACACTGAACCATTTTAAGTTGATGAACTGTCTGTAAGTCTATATACTATTGTAAGATATACATAATAACAAAAGAACACTCTAATAATAATACAAAAAATACCCAAAAGAGGCAGAGTAGGGGAAAGGGAAGAAAGAACAGATAGGACAACAGCAAGATGGTATGTTCAAGATCAACCATAACAATAGTCACATTAAATATATATGTTAGACCATAAAAGGCAGAAATGGTCAATTGGATAAAAAAGGCAAGTCATGGCCAGACATGGTGGCTCATGCCTGTAATCCCAGCACTTTGGGAGGCTGAGGCAGGAGGATCACTTGAGCCCAGGAGTTCAAGGCTACAGTGAGCTGTGATCATGGCATTGCTCTCCAATATGGGCGCCACAGCAAGTCCCACTTTAGAGACACAAGTAACTTAAAAGTAAAAGGAAGGAAAAAGACATACCCTGCTAACATTAATGAAGAGACTACTAGAATGGTCACATTGATATCAGAGAAAGTAGATTTCAGAAAAATATTACCAGAAATAGAGTCCTTTCATAGCTTTAATGGAACCAAATCATCAAAACAATGTAATTATTCTAAATGCTTATGCACCTAATAATAGTGCTTCAAAAAATAAGAGAAAAATACATCAAACAACAGGAAAAATAGGCAAATCCAAAGTTATAGTCAAAGATTTTGACACTATGTCTCAATAATTAATAGAACAAGTATACCAAAAAATCAATAAGGCTATAGAAGATTTGAACAATATTATCAACTATCTTGACCTAATTAACGTTTATAGAACACTCTGCACAACAACTGAATACACATTTTTTTTCAAGAGCACATAGAACATTTAACAGGACATACCGCATTCTGGACTATTAAAAAGTCTTAAAAGTTTTGAAAGAATTCAAGTCATACAACATATATTCTGTCAGCATAGTAAAATTAAATTAGAATTCAATAGCAGAAAGAAATCTGGAAAATCTGCAAATACTTGGAAAATAAATTATATACTTCTTAATAACACATGGATCAAAGAAGGAAGCCAGAGAGAAATTAGAAAGTATTTGAACTACATGAAAATAAAAACACTTCCTATAAAAATGTGTGGGATAAGAAAAATTGTGAGATGTCACTAAGAGGATAATTTATAACACTGAACTTAGAAAAGGAAGAAAGATTTCAAATAAATGACCTCAGCTTTCACTTAAAAAAATGGTAAGAGAGGCTGTGTGAAATGGCTCACACCTGTAATCACAGCAATTTGGGAGGCTGAGGTGGGCAGATCATTTGAGCGTAGGAGTTTGAGACCAGCCTGGGCAACATGACTAGACCCCATCTATACTGAAAATACAAAAAGTTAGTCGGGCATGGTGGCATTTGCCTGTAGTCCTAGCTACTCGGGAGGCTGACGTGGGAGAATCACCTGAGCCTGGGAAGTCGACGCTGCAGTGAGCTGAGATCACACCACTGCACTCCAGCCTGGACAATGAGAATGAGAACCTGTCTAAAAAGAAAACAGAAAAAGTAGAGTACAGTAGTCTCCACCCCCCTTGTCTACAGGGGATATGCCCCAGGACCCCCAGTGGATGCCTGAAACTGAGTATAGTTCTGAACCCCATAGTGCTGTAGAGGATAGTACTATACACCACAATGGATCTGATAACCAAAATGCTTACTAAGTGACTAATACACAGGTACATATACAGTGCGGCTACTGTGCACAAAGGGGATGATTAATGGTTTGAGTGCAATGAAGCAAGATGGCACAAGATTTCATCACACTACTCAGAACAGTACACAATTTAAAAAGTGTGAATTGTTTATTTCTTGAATTTTCCATTTAATATTTTAGACTATGATTGACCATAGGTAACTGAAACCAAAGACAGCAGAACCATGGATAAGGGGAGGCTTTACTGTAAATTCAATCCAAATTAAGCATAAGAGAAATAAAAATTAGAGCAGAAATCAATGCGTTAGAAAAAATTTGGTAAAGTCATAGAAACCAAATGCCAGTTTTCTTATAAAGTCAATAAACCATTAACCAGACTGATTAGTATAATATAAAACAAGACGTGTGAACATTATTAGGTTTGAGAGAGGGGACATCAGTACAGATTTCACAGATATTCAAAGGATGTTAAGGCAATATTATGCACAATAAATTTGACAACTAAAATGTAATGGACAAAGATTTTGAAAGATTCAAATGATCATATTCATGCAAGAAGAAATAAATAGTGTGGAAACCTTGTAGATATTAAAGAAACTGAATTATAGCTAAATACTTTCTCACACAGGAAACTCCAGGTACAAATGACTTCACTGGCAAATTTGACTTGTTTCATAAAAAGAAATAATAACAATTCTACAGACATTCTTCCAGATAAATAAAGAGGAGTGAATATTTCCCCAACTCATTCTATGAAGCCAACATTACTCTGATACCAAAATCAGACAAGGACATTAGAAAAAAAAATTTAGATTGATATCCTTCTTGAATTGATGTAAAAATTTGGCACACACACAGATGAAAGACTGTGTGAAGACACAGGGAGAAGACAGCCATCTACGAGCCAAGGAGAGATGCCCCAGGAGAAATCAGCACTGCTCACAGGTTGATCTTGGACTTCTATCCTCCAGAAATGTGAGAAAATAAATTTGTCCAAGCCACCCTCAAAAATAAAAACTAATAAAAATTTAGTGAATTGAACCCAACAATATATAAAAAAGATAATATATCATGACCAAGAAGATTTTATCCCAGGAATACAATGTGACTTTAACATTTGAAATTGATCAATGGACACATATTAACAGACTAAAACAGAAAAAGCATAACCATATGATCATATGGTGGACACATCACGTTACTGACATCACTGATCAGTCGCAGTGACATCAGTCACATCAGTGGACACAGAAAAAATACTTGATAGAATCTAATGTCATTTAATGAAAGTTTTATACACATTTAAAGAGTACTATTTGGGGACAAATTTGTCGTATAAAGAAGTGCAAGAGAATTATAAAGTACAACATTCAGGATTGTGGTTACCTCTGAGCAAAGAGGGAAAGGAATGGCACTGGGTTGAAACACCCATAGTGCTTCAAAGATAAAATAATATTTTTCTTCAACACAGTGGTTGATACACAGTGTTTGCTTAAACCCTTTGTTTGTTTGTTTGTTTGTTTGTTTTTGAGACAGAGTTTTGCCCTTGTCGTCCAGGCTAGGGTGCAATGACGCGATCACTGCTCATTGCAACCTCCGCCTCCCAGGTTCAAGCAATTCTCCTGCCTTAGCCTCCCAAGTAGCTGGGATTACAGGCCTGTACCACCACGCCAGGCTAATTTTTTTATATTTTCAGTAGAGACGGGGTTTCACCATGTTGACCAGGCTAGTCTTGAATGCCTGACCTCAGATGATCCACCCGACTCGGCCTCCCAAAGTGTAGGTGGGAGCCACCACACTCAGCCAGTTGTTATCCTTTATACCTTACACATATTGGTATTTTTTCATGCTTTAATATTTAGTAAAAGCAATTTTTAAAGCTAGTATTTCTGTTCTTGGCCTTTTTCTGAAATTATCATACCAGAAAGACATTTATTTCCTGTATTTACAGCTTTGGAAACTCATAACATTTGCAGGTTGAAAGAAGAGCTGTTTGTATGAAGTATTCAGTTTTTTTTAGAAATATAGTGTGATTTTTCTATAAACAGAGGGAACTGGTATTTCAAGTATACTACGTGAAGAACAAGAGTGTGATTAGAGCCAACAAGCCAAAAAATAGAGAGGAATCACTACCCTAGTGGTCAGTTATATATAACCGAGAGAAAGACAGCAAAGTGAGACTAGCCTGCTAATCATATATTTTTCTACATTTCTAAAGTTCATTACTCAAAATACAAGTGAATTATATTTATTCCAAACAGTTCTGTTACGTTTTGGTCTTTATTTAGACCTGTCCCAGAATTGGACCCCAATTACCTTCTCCTACCCTTCCTTGCTAGGAACTTGTCTGAAAATTCTGCCACAAGAATTTTACAGTGTTTAAATACATTTACACTACACCATTCCTATAATTATATATATCTCACAATGAACAGTTGTCTCATTCATGAGTCTAGAATCCTTTGCTGAATGGACATGCCCAAATTTGGTGTCATTTATTTATTCTTACACATGCCGCATTCACTCAGCAGACATTAATGAGTACCTGAGCGGTGCTAGACGTGGTACTAGGCTAAAATGGAAAAACAAGACAAATGCCCTGCTGAAGGTGTTTAATGTGAAACAGACCCGTGCACAAATAATTGAGATATTTGCAATTCAGAAGAAATAGTATGTGTTACTTAGATTTTGTACCTAAGTACAAAGTTGCATGGCCTACTTAAAAACCTTCTTCTATAGCCAGGTGCAGTGGCACCGGCTGTCATTCCATCTACTTGGGTTGCTGAGGCAGGAGGATCACTTGAGTGCAGGAATTTGAGTCCAGCCAGGGCAACATAGCAAGATCCCTGTCTCTAAATTTTTTTAATAAATAAAAATGTTTAAATTTGTATAATGTAAAAATGTTTAATGTTGTGTAGTAAGGTAAAATTCTATTTAAAAACAATAATAAAAAATATTTCTGGGCTGGGTGCGGTGGCTTACGCCTGTAATCCCAGCACTTTGGGAGGCTGAGGCGGGTGTATCACCTGAGGTCAGGAGTTCGAGACCAGCTTGACCAACATGGTGAAACCCCGTCTTTACTAAAAATACAAAAATTAGCTGGGCCTGGTGGCAGGCGCTTGTAATCCCAGATACTTGGGAGGCTGAGGCAGGAGAATCACTTAAACCCAGGAGGCAGAGGTTGCAGTGAGCCAAGATCGCACCATTGCACTACAGCCTGGGCAACAAAAGCTAAAAAACTCCGTTTCAAAAAAAAAAAAAAATATATATATATATATATATATATATATGTATGTGTGTATATATATATATATATATATATGTATGTGTATATATATATATGTATGTGCATATATATATATATATATCTGATGTGCTAGAGTACAGAAAAGCTGGCAAAAGTGGTGAGATGTGAAAGGCTATCATAATCTATTTGTGAACACCTACTTCTGTTAGGTTTCATGATAAATTTTTACATCAAGTTGTCTCATCCTATGAGGCCTTATCTACATTTTACAAATAAGTTCAGTAAGCTTGAAAAAAGACTCAGTAATTAAATCATACTCACAGATGTAATTAGCATCAGAATCCAGGGCCTTTTAAGGTCAAAGCTTGGGATCTTCCTTTTTATTTTCATGCTACTCCCTTCCCCAGGAGTAAAGGTGTTCTAGGTGCTAAAAGGCATTTTTGCTCCTCCCAGATCAATTGATGCAAATAATTATTCACCTAAAACCTTTATTGTCTTTATGAACCTTCATGTCTGTCTGACCTTCCACTCTTCCTGAAGCATATCTTTTTCTTAATGAAACTATTTAACATATTTTATTCTAACAAATATGTCATTTGTATCTCCTCATTAGACCATGGGGTTGAGTATCTGATTCTTTTAAGAAAAACAGTGTGTACTGAATGGATTAAAACAAATTAACAAATTTATGAAGGAATTACTTGGATTTTCCAATATTCTTTAATGAGCTAAAGATGACAGTGTAAGAACATATGAAAAGTATTGGATTTTCGCAACTTTCAATTTAAGACTTTCTAAGGTTCATAGAGAAAGAAAAGGAATTTTAAAGAGATCACTGAAGAGTTGTGAACATATGGATAGTTGGATAACGATGAAGGGAATAAGCCCTCCTTTTTTACCCTATGTCACCATGGCTGAGAGATGCATTATGATATTGGAAAAAAATTTCAGCTGCTGAGTTCTGATTAGCTCACTCTCAGAGCTGCAGCACATTCGAGATGGAACACAGTGCTTTTGGGAAAGCTTGCTAAGATAAATGAGATAAATGTTTGCACCATTATACTAATTCCCTAGCCCCCTTTTCAGCAAAAGCCTTGTTTTGTGTGTGTGGGTGTGGGTGTGTGTTTGTGTGTGTGTGTGTTTCAATAGATGGAAGAATTTTTTAACACATGAAAACTCACATTGCTGAAAACTCAAAAAGTCTTCCTAAGCAGAATCATTATGCCAAATTGTCATTGACATACGAAAACACTATAGATTAATGCAGTAATAGTTCATGGTTGCTCAGGAAGAAACTTAATTTACAATTTGAAACAGGTTTGCATTCCTTAGAAATTCTGGAAATCAATCAGTGGCACAGAAATTGATCTGCTAAAGGAGAGGAAAATTGATTTTTAATATTGGCAACTACATCAATTTTTTTAAGTTCTGAAGGAACAACTCTTGAAAACAAATTTATTAACTGTTAAGGGATTACTTGATATTTAGTTTCCTAGCAAACTATCCAAAGAGAAGTATTTATGGCCTCATTAGAAGATGTATTTTTATTGTGCCAAACATCAACTTCAAAATTGCAGTCTCTATTATTTCAAAGATATGGAAATCAAAAATTAAATGAAATGGAGTTATCTATATAAGACTACCATTGCATCATATTTTAGAGTGGTACTTTGCCTCAAAGTATCTCAATATGAATAGTGAGAATCTGAACACATTTGCATATTCCCCATTCGTGATATAGTGTTGGCATTCTAAAAAAGAATAACTGTAGCTGATGGCAATTTTTATCTGAAGAGACTTGTGCATGATAGCAATATACAATCTTCTGTCAGCATAAGAAGAGCATCTGGGGCCCATTAACTCACCAAATCTGCCACTGTTCTGCAAATTTTTATTAAGCAAGTGTAGTCCCTAATAGTCACTTATGTTATAGAATGCGTATCAAATGCTATCAATAAGCAAGGGGATTGTTTTCCCCCAGTGAGAATGCATTTGAAGTGTATAAGAAAGCTTGACAAAAGAATAAAACACTTTAAGTGATCACTATATTAATATAAATGTATCCTACTGGGAAGCCAATGTGTGTAAGTATTATGTGCACTTTGATGTTTGCCACTAACTAGTTCTCAGAGTGCCATCTTTTTCATAGATTTTTTCCCCTGTATTTTCTTTCTCTCAATTCTAATGATGAACTGGTTGAAATTAAGTGAAAAGACACAGACTGTTTATTTATGCTTTTTAAAAAGATGCCATTGATGCTGGGCAGTTCTAATTAGCTTCAAAGGCTTACAACCATGAGAATTAGAAACATAGGCCATCAGGCTGCTGTTTCTCAAACAAGTCTTCCTGAATCAGAGAACACACCAGGAAATTAACAAGCATCCAAGCCAAAGAGTGTCCTCTTTATTAAGCACCTTATGATAATTAGGTAAAATAATGTACATCAATCTTGAATTGAATATGAGGAAGCATGAGGTTAGTCTAGAAATCCTATTATCTAAATAAATCGGAAGAAAGATCAAGAGGAGGCAGTCCATGGTACTCTCTAAGTATGTAATAATGGTTATAATAAAATAACAGTTATAAAAATATTTATGAATTGCAGCTTCAGAAACCTGAGCATTTCATTGGTATCTCTTCAATTATTGTAATATCCATTTACGATAATCAAGAGCAAGTAGTACCAGTCCTTGGGTAAAACTGAAGGATAAGAAAGGGAATGAAATAACCTTTAAATACAAATACTTTTTTAAAAAAGAAAGAAGAAAGAAAAGGAGAAAAAATTCTGTCATCAGAACGAGAACAAGAAACTTAGACTCTTGCTCCATCAACACTCTCTTACTCAATGCTTTTAATTAATACTTTACTGTTTTGGAATCAAAGACCTTTCCCACACCAGGCCCATTTATTTTTCAATCTCTTGTAAATAAGTCCTTTGTTTAAAATGACACACCTGTCACATTTCATATCACTACCATTCCAATCACTGTGCTAAATATTATGCAGTGAAACTACTAGACGTAAGCTTAAGCCCCAAGAGATAATTTTAATAGTAGCTCTAAGTTAATGTGAGTTATAAAGGAAGTTGGTATTAATTATAACACTTGCCATTTAAAAAAAAACTTGGTGGCATGTGTAATTTTACCTCATTTTCTCATTTGCTACTGTTATTTAAATTACTTCCCAGCACTAAGCATGTGTATAAAAGATGATTGTTCCAAATTTAACCTTTTAAATAAAATGTATTCTATCAATTAAGTCATTATAGTTCCCTCTCTTTTCCATTATGTTTATTCATTTATCTTCTGTCCTAAAGATAGACATCTGTGTCAGTGAATATTTCAGAGAAAGGCCTCTAATTTTTATGCCTATCACCCATTTGGATTTTCTACAATGTTTTTCAAATAGTTTATATTAGTGTTTGATATAATTTCAAATTGTCAATTAAAATAATGATAAGTATAAGAAATAATAAATATTATTCAGCCAAAAAGTTAAGAAGATAATTTGTTAAGCCTAATATGGCCAGGGAATTTGCAAGTACTTAAATCAGCTTAGATTTTTTAAAAAAGATAAAAACAAAGCAGCAAAAGCCTTACCTTTGTATGAATCCCTTCTTCTGAATGACTATACATAATAAAACCGTACAGTCTAGTGTACTTTCATTGCCTTTCTTCCACTGCAGGATGATTTAGGAGCCAGGTAAATTGCTAGGTCGTATCTTTTGTGGTTGTGGAATGATCCATACAATAACAATGTAAAAGTACCTAGTGCCCGGCTGAAGCATAGTATGTTCTCAATTATTTTCTCTCTTTAGTTCTTTATAATCCTGAGCAAATTAAATCACGTACCCCACAACCGTCATCAAATACACCACCTTTACCACTCTCACAACTTCCATTTATCAAATGTTTTCATTTATTGAGAATTATGTGTCTGGAACTGTGCAAAGTGCTTTTGTACATTTTTTTTCATTTAGTTCCAACTCTCTGTGTACTGTTTTTTCCCCCATTTCTCATATGGAGAAACTAAAGCTAAAAAGAACTTAGTGGCCGGGCGCAGTGGTTCACGCCTGTAATCCCAGCGCTTTGGGAGGCCAAAGCAGGCGGATCACCTGAGGTCAGGAGTTCGAGACCAGCCTGACCAACATGGAGAAACCCCGTCTCTACTAAAAATACAAAATTAGCAGGGCATGGTGGCACATGCCTGTAATCCCAGCTACTCAGGAGGCTGAGGCAGAAGAATTGGTTGAACTCGGGAAGTGGAGGTTGCAGTGAGACGAGATCGTGCCATTGCACTTTAGCCTGGGCAACAAGAGCGAAACTCCGTCTCAAAAAAAAAAAAGGAGCTTAGTAACTTGCCTGGTAATGCTGGCATTCAACCCACATCTGTCTGATTACTAGCTATGATGTTAGTCTCTCTTTCTATTTTGTTTCTCATTAATGATGATGACAGTAGTTCATATTTATTAAGTACTTATTCTGTTGTCTTCTAAGTACCTTGCATATATTTGCACATGTAATCATCACCACAAACCTGTGGGGTAAGCAATATCCTCTTATGATGAGACTGAGGCCACAGAAAGTTAAAATGATTTGCACAAAACTGTTGTTTCCAAACAAGGATTCCAATTCAGAAAGATTATTTCTCATCTGTAGAATGAGAATGGATATTTTAGCTTGAACCCATCAGAATCATCAATTTCAAAACATGTTAAACAAAATTATAGCTAACATTTAGTAAGCTTGGTCACCACAGAAAGATAACTATTAATAGCATATATTCAAATAAAGAGAGTAGTTTTCCAGCATATAGTTAGTTGCGTTGTCTTATATTCCAGGTTTCTCAGGTAATGACTCTTCTGTGACTCTTATCACAAGTGTAATGGAGTGGTTAAGAGTGCCATATTTAAGTTCAGGCTTCTCCATTTATGAGGTGTATGTCAGTTTCTTTATCTGTAATATAAGGATAGTAATAATAATACTTTCCAGGTCGTTGTGAGAATCGAATGAATGAATAGATACAAAGTGCATAGCATAAAACCTGTGTATTACAAGTACTCAGAAAATATGAGTTCCTATGGTTATTTTTAATCATTATCATTGTTTTCTAATGCTTTTCTACTTACAGTGTAGATTGATTCTATGTAAGTGCTTTTTAGGCCTGAGAAAAACAGAATTTGGCTCACAACTGGTGCCTTATAAATACTTACCTCCCAACTAGAAATAAAACAAAAAGTCTAACAATATTTTTAAGCAGTTGGGAACAGAATAATCACAGATATGTAGTGCTTTTATCTAGAAAATAAAGAAATAGCTTAGAAAAGGAGGGCTAGGTGGGAGTGGGAAGATTATGTATAGTAACTGGGTCAATTAAGACTGAATGTTGTGGGCAGAGAAAAAAAGGGACATGTTACTCTGAGATCAATCTAGTGTTAGGCGAAATGGAAGAGATTCTTCTTGTTAGCAAATTTCCCCTCGCCTTGCTTCAACCCTTGAGACCACAGTTTTGTGTACTAACATAGACAGTGGCACATGGTAATAAACAGCTTTTGTTGAATATTAAAGTGATGATCTATGCAGAGATGCTTAAGGATTAAGAACTTTGCATCTGTGTTCATGAAGGATGTGGGTTAGCAGTTTTCATATCATGTATTTTTCTGATATTAGTTAGTATCTGGGTAACACTAGCCTCATAGAGTGGCTTGGGAAATCCTCTCTCTTTCTAATACATTTTCTGTAGAATTGGTCTTATTTATTTCTTAAATGTTTGGTAGAATTCACCAGTGAAGCCATCTGGGCCTAGAGTTTTGTTTGTGGGAAAGTTTTACTTATAAACACATTTTTTTTTTCAAAAAACTACTATAGGGCGACCCATGTTATCTAATTCTTCCTATATGAGCTTCAGTAATTGTGTCTTTTAAAAACGAATCCGTTTCATCAGAGCTCCATTAATCTAGAGTTAGTTTTTCCCCGCTGTTGAGGCAAGACCCTTCTTCACATTCAAATGGATGCCCTTCAGTTATGAAGTTTTCTACTCTGGCTGTTGGAAATAGGCACTATTCCCAGCCCTGTGTGAACTTCGGATGCTGTTCCTCTTCCAGTTTGGAATGGTTCTTTGCCAACTCTTGGGTTAATTTTCTTACACACATATGATCATCAGTATTCAACTACATATATGAGGAGATTTTTCTGAAGATAGTATTGCTCTTTCCTCTCTGGTTCTCTGCTCTGCAACCTCTGTCTGCTTTGGCTTCCTGGGATGCCCAGCACCATGCCCTCAAGCTGGGGCCATCACTGTTCTGCTTGGGTGTTGGCTTTCCCGCACGGCTGCCTGGAGGCTTTCTTCAGAGAATAAGCTGGGGCAATTGTAAAGTTCACGTCATTTGTTTTCCATCTCTTGGGATCACTGCATTTTGTTGCCTAATGTCTAATCTGTTGAATGCCATTGTTTCTTGTTTTGTCTAGTTTTTAAAATTGTTTCAAGGGGAATTACAAATCTGTTCCCTTTTACTCTATTTTGACTAGATAACAGAAGTCTAATTCTTAAGTATTTAATATACACACAGACACACACACGTATTGCTGTTATGCTGAAAGAATTTTATTATATTGTATACATCCCTGGGTCTATGAATTTGGTTTCTCCTCTTGTAAATGTGGAAGAAACAACCCAGTTAAAATAACTGAAAGTATTGAAAATTATGAGAAAATGAAGTTATGTTCATAAAAGATCTAATAAACATATATTTATTCATAGCTGTCTTCAAGATATCTACCAATAAAAGTGAGGTATCCCAGGGTAGGCTGGGAGAAAAAAATGTTTCTCAAATCTCTGCCAGTAAAAGATTTAACTTATTATGAATCTGCATTAATTTACTGTTTAAAAATTGTCTGATTTACAAGCCGGTCTGATCCTTGTCTCTTTTATTTCTTCTCCTCAGTGCCAGATGAAAGCAAGGTTCACTCATTGGCTGGACAAAAATCGGGTAAGAAATTCCTTGTAACTGACTATATTCCTCTTCCTGGAAATCACTGGCTGTGTTTTAGTAGCAGTTGGAACCTGTTTCTATCCACTAGTCACTGAAAGGCTTTCTAATTAATACATGAGATGTCTCTGACTTCCACAAAGATGACTTATTGCTTGGCTGTGTGTATAGTGGCATAATGTATGCTGACTCAGAATGTTTGGGAGGAAAGAATAAAGATTTCCAAAAAGATATATAAAACCAAAAATCTTAAATCTGTACTCTAGCTAAACACTTAAAAAAATTGCAAGAAAACCCAAGAAAGTTCAAGATTCTTTCCCATGATGACTTTCATATTTAAGTGGCGGGACAGAGAATTCCAGAATAAGAAAGATACGATCATTTTTTTCTCCTCAAAAAAGAATAGGATTTTTTTTCTTTTTTTTTTTTCTGCCTGTCATCAAAATGGATTGTTCCAGGGATGTATGCATTATTTTTATTTAGAGACATGAATGAGCTCCCTAGATATTCTCTAGGAAGTCCACAAAAATTTCTAAGGATCTCTTAGGTCTTTATCATGTGTGAGTTACCTTCACTCCTAAAATCCAAGCTGTTTTTTCATTGCCAAGTCGACTGCCTTCTATTCCTTTTTCCTTCCTCCATCATCATTTATTCACATTAGTTGAAAACATTTAAAGCTACTAAGCTAGCAAATAGTGGAGTAATCCCTTTCCTCTAGGGGCACATTGTTTTGGAGGAGAAAATGTCCATTTTGCTCATAGCATTGCCCCTCTAAACAACAGAAGGATTATGATTTTCTGACATCCCTCCATTGGTGAAACAAAGAAGTCTTTCCCATCACCAAGTGTCTCCCGTGTTTGTGTGCCAATTATGTTTTCAGCAGTAAGTGGCCTTGATGCCTCATTACCTCCATCATGTTCCAGGGCAAGATTATGATTTTTTTCCTTTCTTCTTTCTCCAGATTCTCTTGTGATAACAGCAGGGAAGGGCTGGTTCACAACTCTTAGATTTTTTTTTCTTGCTTTTCCTAATAAAAAGCCTAAGAAGTTAGATCACTGTGAAAGAGATTTCTATGGGAGTGATAAATTGCCACATGCTCCTTGCTCCCAACATCCTCTTCCATTAAATTCTCTACTACTGGACATATTTTTAGGAGCTTCAGAAGGAAGTTCTCATGACCAGGGAACCCCAAGGATAATCTATAATATCTTCATCTTAAATACATTCTACTGCTTATAGTTCTCTTATACATATTGTTATAATACCTGAAGATGAAAAGCCTTTTCTTAGTACTGGGATAGGCTTCAAGGCAAAAAGTTGAAGTCCTTTTCTGGAATTTTTATCAATTTGGTTTTTGAAAATGAGCAAATAATAAATTTTCTGGCTTTTTCCAGGAAATCAAATCTTATTCTAACCTTAATTTCCAAGCACACTACTATTAGGTGGCAATTAAAAGTTTGTCACTCTTTTTAGATGAGAACTTTGTCATCTTTGTATATTGCCATAACATTTTATGTAAATTTCAATGATCTGTCTTTACATAGTATGATATAAAATATTAATAAAGAATTATGCTAAGTGCAAAATTTGAAATAATAATCTTCCAAAAAAGTTTTAGTCAAAAATGGCAGAATTTTAAAGCTGTCACACAGGTTCATTGCAAATTCCATACAGCAACTTCACTTTAGCTGATAGAAATAGTTCCAACAGTCTTTATGTCACATGAACCACACTGTTTAAATACTTCTGATGTTTTAAAGAATATTTCTGTTACTAATTAGTACTGTTATTCCAACATGCACTATTTTTATATTTTTAAGTGCTATTATAACGTTATTACTACTTCACGTTTTTCATTGGGCATCTGTAGAAATGCTGAAAAATAACCAGCCACTTGATAACTTTGGAGCAAAAGTGGCCTGCAATGAAGAGGGCTAAACAATCACCAAAAACCATATACTGTAGAGTCACATTAAATGAGAGCATCTTGTAAAACACTAGAAACGGTTCTGAGAAAGCACAGAGCAGCATTAGAGGAACATACTCAAATAAGGTTCAAAATTTATGTACTCTAAGAACATACCCTTCCCCATTTTTTGTTTTTTGTTTTTTGTTTTTGTTTTTGAGACAGAATCTCTCTCTGTCACCCAGGCTGGAGTGCAATGCCATGATCACAGCTCACTGCAGCCTCAACTTCCCTGGCTCAGGTGATCCTTCCACCTCAGCCTCCCGGATAGCTGGGACTACATGTGCATGCCACCATGCCCAGCTAACTTTTATTTTTATTTTTATTTTTTTTGTAGAAATGGGATTTTGCCTTGTTGCCCAGGTTAGCGTCAAACTCTTCTGGGCTCAAGCAATCCACCTGCCTTAGCTTCCTAAAGTGCTGGGATTACAGGTATGAACCACAGAGCCTGGCCACTCCCCCAATTTTTTACATTTCTTTCTTTTGGAAAATTAGTCTTGAATTATAATGATCCTCAGGAACTCACCCCTCACATAAAACATAGCTCCCCTCTGTGCGTTGCATTTACGTGAAGGGATATCTCATTGGGATTTGGTGGTGGTGGTGGTGGTGGTGGTGGTGGTGGTGGCGGCAGCAGCAGCAGCAGAGGGTTAAGGGTTCTCTTGATTCTAACAACCTCTTTCAGTTACAAAATCATTTTTTAAATTCATTTAAATTCACCTGTAGTCTCAGTCGGCTACAGGTCATCTGTGACCACTAAGCAAGTTACCAGGTTGTATTTTAACTTATAAATCTCTACTTGTCTCACCATTCTTTTTTTTTTTTTTTTTTTTTTTTTGAGACGGAGTGGCTCTGTCCGCCAGGCTGGAGTGCAGTGGCGCGATCTAGGCTCACTGCAAGCTCCGCCTCCCGGGTTCACGCCATTTCTCCTGCCTCAGCCTCCCGAGTAGCTGGGACCACAGGCGCCCACTACCGCGCCTGGCTAATTTTTTGTATTTTCAGTAGAGACAAGGTTTCACCATGTTAGCCAGGATGGTTTCGATCTCCTGACCTTGTGATCCGCCCGCCTCGGCCTCCCAAAGTGCTGGGATTACAGGCGTGAGCCACCGCGCCCAGCCTGTCTCACCATTCTTAAAAGGAATCAGTTAACTTCTTTTTGTTGTGATATTGTCCCCTTTTCCAAATTCTTTCTTCAGAATATTTAGGTTAAAATAAGAGTTTTTTTTTTTTTTTTTTTTTGAGACAGATTCTCCCTGTGTCACCCAGGCTGGAGTGTAGTGGCACGATCTCTGCTCACTGCAACCTCTGCCTCCCAGATTCAAGCAATTCTCCTGCCTCAGCCTCCTGAGTAGCTGGGATTACAGGCATGTGTGTGGTGCCCGGCTAATTTTTTTTTTTTTTTGTATTTTTTTTTTATGCTAAGAGTCTCTCGCTCTTTCTCTTTAACTATAGAAATGTGAGCAGCTTTTATACTATCCAAGACCAACAGGAAGTTAAACAAATTAAATTGTATATACTGACCTAAATCTATCATCCAGCCTCTTATTCAAGATGACATTCAACATTTTAATAAATTCATCTGAGTTAAAATTTCTTGAGTCAGCTACTTAGTCTGTAAAGAGCTATTTCGTGCCAAGTTCCATCTGTTGGTCTGGCTTGGGTACCTCCCAAATTTGTGACAATATTTTTGGTACCCTTTTCTTGGCTTAATTTTTAAATGGTTGATCCTTCGGAGCTCAGATCCAATCAAAGGCCCAGGTAAAATAAATCTTTATAATATTTTTGACCCAAAAATGTAGTGTTCCCCTCACCCCTTCTGGAATTAGTCCAGTATTCTTGAGATTTCTCTAACCCCTATTTCAGGGGCTTCCCCAAAAGGGCATTGTATCTCATTACCTTGGCAAGGAAGATAGCAGGATGATTCTCCTGTTTCTGAGTTGGTAGAATCCTCCTCCAAATATGAGAGACATTTAAGTCTATGGTATGGTGAGACCTGCCCGGAGAAGTTAGAAATAAAATACCCTTTGTTTGGTTCCTTGAAGAAAAATCACAAGTTTCATAGAGCCTTGAAAAACCAAAAACGTCTTTAACCTCTTTCCTTGTTTCACTAATTGAACTCTGACAAAATTCAAATTCTAGCAATGCCTGGAGAAAAAAAAAAAACAGAAAAATGTATTTTTTAACAGTAAAACCATTTTTAAATGATTTAAATATTCTGAGGGAACATTAGGATCCAGAGAAAATGACATCAAATTTAGCACAGCTTTTTTTTTATTGTTATGCTTTAATTTTGCTTATACTCAGGGTCTTAAAGTGTGTCTTTAAGAAGGAATTCTTTCTTATTTTCTTTCTGTCTACTAAAATGACACTTCAACCAATAGTTTAATGCTCCTTTATGTTCAGACAGAAAGGGCTTATAAATTTTACTTTTTTTAGTGTCTTCTTTTTTTTTTGTTTTGATTTACTGCTTGGAACTGTTTTAATATGTATTGACTGTCTGCAGAGATCTTTGCTGACCCAGCTCTTTAAGATGATGCAGTACTGAAGAAGGCCGATGAGTTCTTCTTTATGAGCTCTGACATATTAATTAGCAAAATGGACTAAAAAGCTTGGCTATTCCTGTTTTAATTTCTTATATTCTCAAACACCTGTCCATATAGCTGTAAAACAGGCAAGTGTGTGAAAGTAATGGTTGGCAGCAAGTCCAGACCTTTTCTGAGACAACTTTATCAATTAATGAGCAAGTACTCATTAACAATCTAGGGAGCTATTTCTATGTGAGGCCACTAAGTATGTTTGGTATCCTAACACAGTTTGATGAAAAAACTGAAGCTCAGGTAATTTAAATACTTGATCTCAGCTGGGCATGGTGGCTCACACCTGTAATCCCAGCACTTTGGGAGGCCAAGGCAGGTGGATCATTTGAGATCAGGAGTTTGAGACCAGCCTGGACAACATAGTGAAACCCCGTCTCTACTAAAAATACAAAAATTAGCTGGGCATGGTGGCCCATGCCTGTAATCCCAGCTACTTGGAAGCCTGAGGCAAGAGAATCGCTTGAACCCACAAGGTGGAGGTTGCAGTGAGCCAAGATCACACCACTGTGCCCCAGCCTGGGCAACAGAGCAAGACTCCATCTCAAAAAAATAAAAAATAAAAAAATAAAAAACTTGACCTCTCAGCTGGTAACTAGTTTGGGGTAAGGATATGAACCCCAGCATTGTATGGTGGAGCTTATGCTTTGGGGCAATTTATATTTCACTAGCACATGCCTTATGAAAGACACAGCCCCTACATGACACACACACATATCAAGCTATCTGATACATCTTTACTTGCGTTGTGTAACCTCAGCCAGCTGAACTAGGAACACAATAGCTTTAATTTATCTACCAAACTACTGTAGTTCCTTGAGTATGAGAGGGACATCTAATCTGATCGTTCTTGCCTTTGTTTCCTTACATGTATGTGTGCATGTGTACATGTACAGGAGTGTGTGGGCCAAGTTAAGAGCTGTATGAGAGAGAAGATGTGCATGTGACGTGTATAAATTATACCAAAGGCACACGTGCAGGTGTTGTGTATCCTTATAACAAAGGCCAAGAGTTTAGTATGCAAGTTACTACTTCAGCAGGCCTTACATTTTGTTCTAAATGCAATGTGTATAAACCTCAAATCCAGAGTGTTCAAATGTGACCTAAGAAATTTCTAGATCCTTGCAAAAGAACAGAGCTTTTAAAACCATAGGGTGATTGGATAGTCACTTTAATTCAAGAGCAATGAGTTATTAAATGACATTTCATAAATTGTGTTGAGTCTTATTATTCCATACTTTTATAGAATATTAAAATTTGAATGTGCATTTACACTTTGGAACACCAGTTATGGCCATTTAAAAAATATTTGCATCTTCTAATTGGATTGCAAATTTTCATGAATTTTTATGGTTATTATTGATGAGGAGCTAAAATTTTCAAGTTAATGGTTAGTGTACTTGAACTCTTTTCTTTCCTCATCGACTCATTAAGATATGACAGCATGGTTCTCTATTTGGACAAACATCTTTATTGGATGCTTTCTAAGCTTTTGTCATTTGTTTTGTTGGATAAATATAGCATTAGACACAAGAAATATATACATTTCTCACATGCTGCAGCCTTGGTTTATATTTCCATGGGATTCAGGAAGTTGTCATAAAGAAGTTAGCAATATGTCTAGCGTTCTTCCTATACAAAGTTGATTGTGAAGCAACTCTAGTATTTCCACATTTGCAAAAAAAATTACTGAATAATGTGGTCTGTAAAATTCAATGAATTAAACTGAATTAGAAACAAATATATCAGTCTTTTCCATAAAATTCTTTACTCCTCAAATATGGAGCAGGTGTATGCATCTCTAAAATTCATGAGTAAATAAAGAGACAACATATGTTTCCAAATCAAGTTTCAAAATAAATTATTTTAGTTCCACTCATGTTTATTAAATGCCCACTCTACACAGATATTGTGTTAAGTGCTAGAGATACAAAGTAAAATAAGACAAGTTCTCAGCCTTATAAAATGTTTATAATATGGTAGAGGAGAAAAAATACAAATGCCTAATTCAGTATTTGTTTGACACCCTCATGCTAAAGAGTTCAATGCAAAAACCTCACAGAGGAAATATTGCTTAATTCCATTTGGAATTGGGGATGGCTGTCACGTTTCAGAAAGGATATGCTTCCATAGCAGGATCTGAAAGCAAAATAGAAACTGGCGATACAGAAAAGGTCAATGAGCCAACACATTTCAGGCTTCTGGAAAGTTCTGAGAACATGAAACATCATGGTATATTTAAGAAATTTTAAGCAGTTCAGTGTGGCAGCAGTACAAAGAGAAAGTGACAAGATACCAAGTTAAGCCAAGTAGGCAGAGATTAGACCATACAGACTCACACCAAATGAAAAAGTACCATTTTATCCTGTAGGCTCAGATAATCTAAACAGATTAAATAAGAGGTCACTTTTATATTCTAGTAATATCAATCTTTTGGTTGTAGGAACCTGAAGGGACCCCCCCCCCCCACCAAAAAAAAAAAAAAAGGAGAGAGAGACTAATAGTCCATATAAGAGATGATGTTGGCCTAAGTGTCAGTGATTAGCAATGGAAGGGGAAAGAAAAGTAAGAAATATTTAGGCAAGAAAGCTTTGAGTATTTTTTTTAAGTTAAACTTAATGGGTAAGTAAAAAAGGGTATCCAACTTGATTTTCATTGTACTTGTCAGCTATTGCTGCAACTATGCTGCATAATAAAACCAACAGTAAACATTTATTTCTTGATCACATATCTCCAGGTATACTGGAATTTGCTGGTATCTCCAGTGTTTGGGTTTAGCTCCAACTTACAGGTTAGGACCAGCTTTTCTGCAGGTGTTGACCAGCAATTTCCTGCGGCATTTACTTCTTGATAACAAGAGTGAGAAGATAGAGACAGGGTAGATAGACACTTAAGAGTAAAATGTATTAACACAAAGGCTCTGGCCGCCCCCCTACAAAGGAGGCCATGGAACCGATGGAACTGATGGAGGAAATGCTGGGACTGTGGGTCAGTGCTGACACACCCATGGCCATACGTTTGGTCTTCTTGGCCTTGGCTGGGCTGGTGGATGGGAAGCCAGTATGGATCACCTTGTGGATGGATGCAAAGAGACCAAACTTGGCGGGCACTGGAAGTACCTGGGGAAGCAGGAGAGACTCACACTGCTGTCATGGCCCCACAGCCTGGAGCCTCCCCTGCCTCCTCTGCCTCTTCAGAGCCCAGCAGAAAGACAGAGAAAGAAGCCTCCTTGGGGTTCCATTACCCACACTCCAAGGTGGAAATCTTTCAGATGGTTAGATGATGAAGGTAGTAGAAGGCAAGGATGATTGGGAGTAGAAGGAAGAGTGACAGGCTAGCATGAGCTGTGCAGCAGCAAGATTCCATATGAGCAAAGTGCAGAAAGTGAGAAAAAAGGACCAAGTTGGATCTCCTCCTAACCCTGACCTGCATGATATGGGTGTGAGAAGCTTCAATTGAGAAAGCTGCTGAGAAAGTAGAATTCATAGTGGAGAACTGCATTTCAATTAAGAAAACAAAAACAAAAACACCACAGAGGTGGTTTGAAAGAAGAGGTTGGGTTGAAAATGAACAGTATTTTGTCAACCATGGAAGGATAGTTGGACTCAAGAAGGCAAGGTAGAAGAGTCTAGGATAGAGGGGAGAAGTAGGACAGCAAGTCACGTTGGAAGACACACAGAGTGGTATCATTAGTTGTAGAGAAATTAAAAAAAAAAAAAAAAAAAAAAAAAGCTGAGATGCTCTGATTCTAGTGACCAAGGGAGATTATAAGCTACCTACTTGCAAGACCTTTCATTTTAAACATCTTTGGAAAATCTAGTCTGCCAGGATTCACCAAATGGCTGTCTAGCCATTCTAGCAATGTTTTAAATCTTAAGTTTTTTCAGCTAAATCGTAGCCGACACCTCATATTGGAAGTACACATTAAATACTCAACCTGGAAAATCTGAAGGTGAGCTCTTACATAATGGACCTCCCAGTCTATGTTGAATAATGTATGTCAAGCTGAAATTTTATTTCTAAAATCTGATAAAGTTATAATATTGCCAGCTAATGTTGAGAAATATTTTAGGATGTATTGGTTTTCCTAATATTGCTATTACTTCATGTAAGATGAAGGGTGTTTAGGTGTACGAGTTTCAAACATGAATACTGTTTATTGGAGGTAAGAGGAAGCCTTAAAAGACATATATTTCAGGAATAGTATTGCCTCCTTACAAAGCACTCTTTTGTTCCTACATTGAGGCTCCAGTAATGTGATGAATTTCAGTATTTTATTTTATTTTATTTTTTTTTTTTGAGATGGAGTCTCGCTCTGTCGCCCAGACTGGAGTGCAGTGGCGCGATCTCGGCTCACTGCAGGCTCCGCCCCCCGGGGTTCACGCCATTCTCCTGCCTCAGCCTCCCGAGTAGCTGGGACTACAGGCGCCCGCCACCTCGCCCGGCTAATTTTTTGTATTTTTAGTAGAGACGGGGTTTCACCATGTTGGTCAGGATGGTCTCGATCTCCTGACCTCGTGATCCGCCCGCCTCGGCCTCCCAAAGTGCTGGGATTACAGGTGTGAGCCACCGCGCCCGGCCGAAGTTCAGTATTATTAACCAGTTATACGAATGCTTCCATCACCTTGTCATGACCTGCCCTTCCAGCCTTGCCTTTTGCCACCATCACCCTCCATCTACAGGTTCCCAACTCCCAGCTAGTCACAGTTACTCTCTGACCATATTTTGCCCTTTTATGCCTCGGAGCCCCAGCTGAACTCTTGAAGACGCACCTCCCAGGGAAACCTTCCCCTGCTTTCTCAGGCAGGCTCTCTCTTGGTGCCCAGGATTGTTTAACTTCAAGTGTCTCTAGGTTCTATTCTTTCACACTTTCTTGCCTCAACTCACACTTCTGCTCCAGAGCCAGTCAGTTCCTGTAAGAGATAGGGAGAAAAACAGTTTTTTTCTATTCTCACACATACAACACAGAATACTAAGCACAGCACAGAATGCTTCAATTCTGGTCACCAAAATGTGTATGGTTTTTCCCCACACACACTGACCAGTTCTCCAGTGGACAGCAACTCGGTGTCCTATAATTCAATTCAATTCTGACACTATCTACCTGGCGATAGAGTCAGAATCCACAGATTAAGCTCTTAGTTCCACAAGCCTGTCCCATTCAGAAGCCAGTCCCACGTCCTAAGTTGTGACTTGGGCCTCTGACCAACGAGCTGTAATTCACAGTTCCCATGACTCTCCTCAGGTTCAATTAATATTCTAGAGTAGCTCACAGAACTCAGGCAAATGACTTACTTAGGCTTACTCATTTATTATAAAGAACATTGCAAAGGATACACATGAAGGGCTGGATGGAAGAGATGAATAGAACAAGGTTGTGGGAAGGTTCTAGGAGCTTCCATGCACTCTCTCCAGGCATCTCCGTGTGTTCAGCAATCTAGGAGCTTTCCAAACCCTGTGCTCTTGGGCTATTATGGAGGCTTCCGTAAGTAGGTAGGATTGATTACATTATTGGCCATTGGTTAGCAACTGAACTTTCAGCTCTTTTTCTCTCTCTCCGGCTTAGAGGGTGGGACTGAAAATTCCAACCCTCTAGTCACTTGGTTGATTCCCTTGGCAGGCAGCCCCAAATCCTGAGGCTATTCAAGAGCTCTTGTTCATCAGTCATCTTATTAACGTTCAAAGATACATCACTTTGGAGATTCCAAGGGTTTTAGGAGCTGAGTGTCAGGAAATGAGAGGAAAACCAAATATATATTTTATATTACATATCACAGCCTCAAAGATCCCTCTCAGGATGTTTTTTTTAAAAAAATCTCCTTTGATCAATAGTCATGGCTCCCTTATATTATTAATATTCCCCAAATCCAGCTTTTTTTCATACAGGAAGGAAAACTCTTATCTATTGCATAGAGTGGGGCAACCAATGATAAACTCATTTAGTAAGCTAGTATTTATTGAACATGTACCGTATACCAGGCTCTTTGCCAACTGCTACAAATACAAAGTGGTATAGAATATGGATTCTGCCCCTAAGGTTCTCACAGTTTAGTAGCAACAATAGGAATGCAAACAGTGACAATACCATGTGCTTATGTATAAATGCAAATGCACAGAAAAAGTAACAGTGGTTATCTTTATTGAAGAGGAAGATTATGGTTGGGGGTCAAAGGGACCTTCTGCTTTATCTGTAGTATTTGAGTTTTACATTCAGACTATATTTAATGTACTATTTAGGTAACAAATAATTTATGGATTAAAAAATAACATTTTTAAACTTAAACCATCACATACAAAACCTAGTAATAGAAATATTGTACAAATGGAAAGATCTAGCATGGGGACTGGCAAAGATTATGGGCAGAAGAACCACAGGAAAAGGGAGCTTCTAGTTTCTGGGAAGGAGATGAAAGGCTGAATCCCGGAGTCATACTGGAAACCTATTTGGGAACCTATTTGCAGCACAGAAGTATTTTGGAAGAAAAGAGAATAGAGAAAGGCTTAACCATGAGACCTGTCATTTATGGGTTGCTGGAAAAGAAAAAAGCCATAAGGAAAATCATAATTAGGGAATATTAAACCCCCTTGTCAATTTTTGGTATCCTAGAGGGCAAAAACTTAGTCCTAGTAATTTATTTAATAAGGTACCCATGCAATGCCATGTACAAAAAGTCCTTTTTTAGAGGCCCATGATGCCCAACTGTATCCAATAAAAACAGACTTATAATTAGGGGGTTAATGAAGAATGTGTGAAATGAAAGAGAAAACTTAAAGGAACCTAGATTACTTCTCCTTGCTAAAATAAGCAATGCAGAATCATTCCCACTCTACTGATAATTAGAAACCGCATACCCCTACGAAACAGCTTACAAATTTCACCCCATCAAAAGAGAACAAAGCCATTCAAAGTTACCTTTTGAATGAAAACACTTTTATTAGCCAATCAGTTTTTTTTTTAAACCAAGCAAACCAAACCACAACTGCAAAAGAAAAAAAAAAAGACAGTTTGGTTTTAGTTTTGTAAAATATCATGGCATGCCCTCAGTGAGCTGTGAGAGATATTTAGAAATACTGGCATCAAACTGGTGACAGAGACATTTTACTGCTGCACTAACAGGCCTCACAGAAATACTACTGTAGGTTGATTTAGTAGTCTGGTGGCCCATACCCTATTTTAAATGGTTTATATGGGCAAACATTCTTTATTTTGAAAAATTATATATTTAAATTAATGTACATTAGTAAAAGACTGATTTTTCACTTACAGCGCTGCTACATGTTTTTCGCAAATAAAATTTTTGTTCAAAAACTGAGTTATTTTTAAGGAAATAAGAATATAAAATGCTATATGAAAATGGCAGAATATTATAAAATGGTAACACTAATTGTTGAGGTTTGAAAAGCACTGATTAATTCTGTAAGCTTCTATCAGCATTTCCATAGTTTCTGTCATGCTTCTTTACAAAGTTCAGGGAATCTTAGTTTGAGCAAAGAGTCTCTACCCAGACCTTCAGGATACATTAACAATGACCTACACCCTGGGTGCCTTTTCCTGTCCGTAGTCAAATGCCTTCATTTCTGGTTGAACACTGGCTTCTTCAGTGCAAGAAATGTGCAAAGCTTCACCTTTTACTTACTATAAACTTCTCTCAATAAACTCTAACTTGAGTTATATTTTCAAATATAGTCCCCCAGCAGGCCATTTCATTGGAGAGAGAAACATAACAGATGCAATGGTACACTTCCATGTGGGCCTGGAAAGCCTTACCAGATGCAGTCAGCTTTGACTTTTTCCTCTCTTAAGCCCTGACATTTACCAGCAGGAAATCAGGTTGATCCCACAAGAATACATCCCAAAGCCTCACTTTCCACCCTTTCCCGAGCCACCGTCACCTGGAGAGCTTCAGTGAGGAAAACTCTCCTCAGGCCTTTGCACATGCATTCGATTAGCCCAGAGTGATCTTCCACTCTATACGGCTGATTCACTCTGATTCAATTCTCAGGTCAAATGTTCTTTCTTCAAAGACAATTTCTGTGACCACCCTATCTAAAATAGTCACCCAACAAGAAGCCAGTTTCTCTCACCTTACTGTTTACCTCCTTATAGAGCTAATCACAGTCTGTAGTAAATGTGTGTGCATTTATTGATGTATGTAACCTACTGTCTGTTTCCCCTACCTCCAGAAGTGAGCTTCATGAAGGCAGAGACTTTGTATCCCCAGTTCCAAAAGCAGTGTGTGGCACACGGCAGGCATCCTTTACGTAGTACTTGCTAAATCTTTTTTCTTGATACGTCTTTTTGCATATTTTTGCTCTCAAACTTTGTGTCCTTAAGCTTTATGTGTATGTCTTGTCCTAATAAATAGCTGGATTTTGTTTTGATGTTCAATGTGACAACCTGAATTGTAACTGGGGTTTAACACATTTACATTTATTGCAATTACTAGCATATTTAGATTTATGTTTTATTTTCAGTTTTAAATTTGGACTACTTTTTAATGACCTTTTTTCCCTCTCTTGTCATTTTAGGCTGAATTGCTTTTTAATCCCATTTTTTTCTGATAGTGATTTGAAAATTATACACTGCATTTTTGGCATGCATACCTAACAAAATCTAAAATTAGTCTGTATCTAATCCTTCTCCCAAACAATACAAGGAACTGAGAACCCTTTAGCTTTCCTTACCTGCTTCCAATTTTTATATGATTTCCATTTTGTTTTCTTTCTTATTTTTTGGTCCCGCAAATTATATATTAATTTCAGTGTTTTATGCATTCAATATTTGTTCAGACTTCTCCAAGTATTTACCAATTTCTTAACTCACCATTTTTCTTTGAATCTCTGACCTTCCCTCTTGGGTCTTTTTCCTTCTTCTGAAGTATGCCTTCCAGACATTCTTTAATGCTAGTCTAATGATGACACTGTTTTGTTTATTAGAACATGTATTTTCCTTGGCAACTAGTTTTTGTTGGGTATATAAAGTTAGACTTATAGCACATTGGAGATCTTCTTCTATTGTCTTATGGCTTCTGCTCTGAAAAGTCAGCCATCAGTCTAATTGGCTTCTCTTTACCTTTGATAAGTCTTTTATCTCTGGTTACTCTTAAATTCTCTTTGTCCTTGACGTTCACTTTCACTACAGTCTAGGTTTTGGTGTAGATTTCTTTATATTATCCTTCTTGGTATGTGGTATGACTCCCATGGCTTTATATCAATGTTTTTTATCACTTCTGGGATATTATGGCTGTTACTATGCCTCTTGCTCATTCTGTCTCCTCTTTGTGGAATTCTTACTATTTAGTAAAATGATTTTTAGGCCATACTCTCTCAACTGTATGTGTTAAATCCTTTTTGATATTTTTCTGTCTTCTTGACTCTGCACTCCATTCTGAGTACAAGTCGAGTATCTCTTATCTAAAATGCTGGAGACCAGAAATGCTTCGGATTTCAAATTTTTCTGGATTTTGGAATATTTGCATATACATAATGAGATATTTTGGGGATGGGACCCAAGTCTAGACATAAAATTCATTTACATTTCATATACATGTTGTACACATAGGCTGAAGATAATTTTATATAATATTTTTACTAATTTGTGCATAAAACAAAGTTTGTGTACATTGAACCACTAGAAAGCAAAGGTGTCACTATCTCAGCCACCCATGTGGTCAGTCTGTGGTTGTTTGGCACCACCATCATTCCCAACTCTGAATTTATATGCTACCATTAGGTAGTCATTTTTTATACTTACACACATGAGTAGTTAATGACAAAAAATAGGAATACCATTAATACAGTAAAAAATAATGTGTTCAGGTAAAAAAGCAGCACAGTGGCATCACCAGAATACCTATGTCAGCTGCTCAGCAACAGCAACAACAAACAGTGGCATATGAGGTCCTATGTGGAACTTTCCACTTATAGCATCATGTCAGTGCTCAAAAAGTTCTGGATTTAGGAGTATTTCAGATTTTGGATTGTTGGAATAGGGATGTACAACCTGGACTAATTTCTCCAGACCTATCTTCTAGCTCCAGTTTAGTGTCTAAATCTCACATCTCTGCTGACTCTCATTCATGGTGACTTTTTCTTTATAAGTTTGGTAATTTCCATTTGGGAGGTCATATTTGGTTGGCTTTAATGTATGAGAATCTTGGGGAGCCTGATTTGCATGTGCTTTTCTTCAGAGAGGATTTAGATTTGTTTCTTCTGGAGTACTGGCAGGACACTGCTAACCTGGGATCACTTTCATATAATTTCTTGGCTGACAGTTTAATTGATTGGGAGAAAATAAACTTGATTTAATACCTCTAAGAGGTCAGTATTATGGTTGCAAGTTCTCAAAGGAATATGGTGATTTTTTTTAATTGTTGTTTTTCCTATCTAGAGCCAGAGATGAGACAGATTTTCTTAGACTGGCTTTGCTTAAGGAAATGTATCAGGGGGATGAGGCTTTTCAGCCCAGTCTTCTACTAAAGTTGTAGGCCCCTTGAGGGTCACTGCTTTAACTCTCCTGCTTTTGACTTTGACTCCCAGATCCTCCAAGATACCACCATTGTGTCCCCTCCCAAGCTCCAGGTTCCTAGATTCAGCATTTACCTAAAAGGCAATCTCAAATTGCAAGTTTGCTTGCCTACCATCACTCACTGTTGGTTTTTTCACTTGTTTTTTTGTTTGTTGAAGGGCTTTCCTTTAGGATTTCCTTTAATTTCCTATGAACAAATCAACCCATTTAAATGTGCATTTTTAATCTATCCAAGATCTATTTGTGGCATGTGAGGTCATGTGCAGAGTTTTATTCATATTTTGAGAATTGATATATTATTGGAAGCAGAAGTCTAGAGTCTAATAATTGTTTGTTAAATGAATGAATGAATGAATGAATATTCTTTGTAAAAGACTGAATTCAAATAAACCATTGGGTTTAATGCAGATTTAACTCTCCTACATTTCACTTTGACTCCCACATCCTCCAAGATACCACCATTGTGTCTTTGCAGAATGAGTGAATGAATGAATGAATGATTATTCTTTATAAAGGACTGAAGTCAAATAAACCATTGTGTTTAATGCAGATTAGAGCACACATGAAGCCAGACATGGTTTTATTTCACTGGATCTCTTTTGACAAGACAATCCAATATAAAATGCCCCTTAGAAATATATGGAAAGCCATGTGACATAAGAACAAAGTGGGAAATGATGGTCATAATATGCTGAGAAAGTCTGAAATGGAAAATTCCTTTCAATAAGAAACCACATAATAAAAAGTTCTCGTTATATTTGTAGTTACAAGCTATGGTTTATTACTCTGTCTAGAGATTCTTGTAATGATTCATTGTTATTGGAAGAAATAAAATAGGGTTCACAAAGGAGCTTTTATCAGATTATAATGTGCCCTATCATAAAGTGGGGAAAAAGAGGCTTATCTGGCTATTTGTAGTCCTTGCCCATGTGGCCATGGATCAGATACTAATTAGAATTCTTTTTGAACCCCTGGAATGCTCTGCAGAGTGAATTCCATGTCATGACCACACTTGAAGAGTAGTGCATGAGAAGGCTGTTTGATAAGTCCTTTAGGTACTAAAACAAATCAAAACCAGTCCTATTTATTCTAACAAAAGCCTCTCTCCTCATATGTTCTCTGCTTTGCACCAAATGATTTTTGGCTTTTCATCTTTCTAAAGTCTAGATATCCTGATACTTTCATGGAATTTTTGTGTAACTTACCAGTCATGTAAGACTGTTACCATAGAGTAAGTGGTGAGTTTGGCAAAGAGAATGGATTGAGAATTTGGATCAAGACAGCCCATAGTCATATTGCTGAAGAGCTACCTTTCCTATTGGAGTTTACAAGGGTTAAAGAAACACCACTATTTCTCTAGGATACTACCTTGGTCAACTTTAGTAAAACAGATGATGTACTAGTTGTGTATTGTGGCTGAAGATATCAGTAGGCTTTTATTTTTCTTCTTCTTTCTCTGTGCTTTTTTCTCCTTTGTTTCTATAAATTAAAATTTCTGGGCATGGCAACGAGAACTGGCTTTGCACACACAATACCCTTGGCTCCAAGGAGGTCATAGATTTGGATCATCTCCCAGATTATACATCTGCCCCTCTAGCTTGCCTTTCAGAGCATATGGCTGTGGCAGAGGGGGCAGATTACAAATCACCTCTGTGTTGTTTCAAAAGTATAAGAAAGGGGAAGCACCTTTTCCTATGACCATAAAGTTGTTACTTGAGTGTTAAAAGACAACGATTTTCTTGTGAATTGTCTTCAGTGAGTTAAGATGCATTCAGTGCATTGCAGTCATAGAAGTCACACTAAACACTATGTAGGGGAATACATGACATGAAAAGTCCTGACCTCTGTTTTTGGGAACTTACATGTCAGCTGAAATGGCTACAGCAACACCTGCAAAGAGGGACAACTCAGAGGGTCCATTTATTGCTTTACATTTTATTCTCAGGTGCTGACAAATAATTTTTCTTAAAAATTATATTTCTGGATATGAATACATATTGGAGCAATCAATTCATTTCAGAGTATATCAGCCGTCAGGGCTTCTTTTGAAATTGCAGGCATTGAAAATTCTGGATCTAGGCATAGAATCCTACCAAAAGACAATACAGAGCTAGATTGAAAGCCCAAGGTACTGCCATGGGGGTAATTTATGAATCTGGAGAAATAACAGAGTAAGAAGAGATGAAGGAAAAGAGGTGGATATTAGAGAAGATATGTTATTCCCTTTTCTAAGCTCATCTGTGTTCTGAATCTGTACCCAACTATTTATTTCAGAGCCTTGTTCTATTAGTTAATGGTTCTTTCTCTTCTGTCTTCAGATTTTCCCTCTTGATTGGCTCCTTCCTTTAATCCAAGGAGAATTAATCAAGGTGACAAAGGTGGTGGGGCAAAAACAGTGGGAATATATGGAAGCAGCAAGGAACATAAGAGGAGGTCCAAGCAAAAGCAGTGGATAACAGTGCAAACAGGAACTATTTACTGAAAGTCCTTACTAAGGAGTTTCCCTTTATCATTTAAATAGCAAACAGAATGAACATTTTAAAGTAAAATTCTGTCATTTCACTTCTTATAAACCTTCAATATGGAACAATTATATGACCACATGCAAAAAGAAAAGAAAAAATAACCTCCGTCTATACCTTACACCATATAAGAAGCTAATCTGACATGGTTCACAGATCTTAAATGTGAGCACTAAAACTATAAAACTTCTAGAAAACAAATGGGAGAAATTTTAGTTACAGTGGGTTAAGCAGAACTTTTTAGAGCACTAAAACCAGGAAGTACAAAAAAATCAACAAATTAGATCTTCTGAAAATTAAAAATGTTTACTCTTCAAAAGATACTCTTGAGAAAATGAAAAGACAAGTCACAGACTAAAAATATTTGAAAAACACATATCCAACAAAGGATCTGTATACAGAATATATAAAAGTTCCGAACCCAAGGAATTGCCAAAATTTAAGGATAAGCAAAGGCACAAGTAGACTATTTACTAGGTTATTTTAGACAAAGAGTAATGAGAAGTGGAAGAAGATTGTCAGAGAGAATAGGACACAAATGATAAATGTATTATAAAATGTGGCAGAGACAGGTGGATAGGACTTGACACTTTTTTATATTTGTAAACAAGAGACAGGAAGGACCCAAAGCTGACCTGAGACTTTGAGGCTAGAAGATCAGAAGAAAGGTAGTGCCTTTAATAGAAAGAATCATGAAGAAGGGTCAAGTTATGAGAATGAAAGTATGAGTCTGGAGCTCCAGAGAGATCAATCAAGGTTAGCGATACAGATTTAGAAGTCATCTGCATTAGAGGTGGTAGTTGAATATTGAATTTGTCCACAAGATTGCACAGATTAAATTAAGTAATAATTCTTTGATGGGGGTAACAGCCATTAGTTTTTTGGTTAACTAAAAGCCTAAGATGAAGGCAAAGGCAGTTACTAGAGTTAATGATCAGTCTCATTTTTGCTATTATCATGTTCAGTGGTTTGAAACAACTAGAATTTTTCTCTGAAAATTAGCAGCTGCATGGAAATGCAAAGTTTCTAGCAGTTACAAATTGGATACTAAGTTAAATTGACTTATATATTTATATTTACAGAGGATCTTAAACAGAAAAATGAGATCTTTGTTCAAGTTTTTAAATATTAGTGAGACATGAGAACATAGAAGTCATACAATGAAATTTGCACTGATTTTGTGAACATAATCTTATGATTTCTTTTAAAATGCAATTATATGCTTTCTTTAAATCATATTAGTTGTCTGTTTTGATCAACTGACAAAAGTCAGCTTATCCACATTTTTCCATTTAGTAAAAATAAATTTTGAATAAATGATGATATGGTCTTCCTAAAGTGATTAGTAATACAAATATAGGGTTTTCTCTTTTTGTTGTTTTCATCTTCAGAGATTAGTAGAAAATTTTTCTTGTTATTTGAAAATACTTTTTTTTACACACATACATATAAATTACAGGTTTGCAAAAAGTGACTTCATTTTATCTATTGTAAACTGGTGATTCCTGTTTATGTGATCATAAATCTTAGTTTGCCTACTTCTTGCTTGTGTTTGTTGGCATTAATGCTGAAGTTTTGACAAAAATTACTTTAACTTTTGCTTCCCTCGGAACAACCAGGGAAAAATATCAACAGCGAAACCGGATAGATGTGGCACCAATAGCTTACTTCAAATAAATTAATACTTCATTTTTTAGGCAAGAATGGTAATCGGTTCTGTTCTATTAGCCTCAGTGGTGTGAACATAGAGTTTCATCACATTATTGTGTGTAAGATATATTTACAAGAGACTTAGACAAAGCAAGGTCTTCCAAGAATAAGCACAAAATGTCTATACACACGAGCCTTCAGGGAAGATTGGGGTGATACATGGAATCGATGCACTTTCAAGTTGGCGGATCTGATCATCAGTCTCTAAATGTTAGTAATCATTTGGTTTATTTACTTTTGAAATTAATGTGAAGGGCTCTGTAGCTTCTTTTTCTTCCTTGGGTTTTGATGTGCTGATGTAATTTGGACATTGCTTTTCTGCCTACAAATGGGACGATTCCTGATATGTGTAGATTAGGGTGAAATCTCAGGTGCTTTTTGATTTTCTACTTTCAGAGAAAAAGTAGAAATTGCTGCTGATATACCGAGACTTCACCGAAGAGATGTTCAGTGTAATATAATTATTTTGATGTCACTTTTCATTGTTTTATTCACAAAAAGGAAAAACAATATTTTATAGGAAAACATTAGTAACAAGAGAGATATCTTAATTTTTAAATTAATATTCAGTGCTCTTTTTAACACGATATTTATTAGGTGCAAGTTACATGCTATTGTAGTAAAGTTAAAAGATTATTCAAATCTTTGGAATTTTCAGAGATGAATTTTATCAAATACATATTTTTAAATTAAATGGGCTATCAAGTAGAGTTTAGAAATCTTCTGTTCATACAGATTTTTATCATTTTAGTACTTCATCTGTGATATAAAACATAAATCTTGAGAGAAGGGCTTTTGATTTTTGTTAAAAGCAGCATGCACATCCTATAAGGCATCAGTCAGAAGACTCATTAGAAACATCATACTAAAAAGTTAAAATGTTTCTTACGCTAAGATTATATCACCAAATCCTTGAAAAGACATAGCTTCTTATCAGATTGTTCTTTGCCTTTTAGACTTCCGTTTCAAGGGAGAAAAAGTAATTTTTGACTAAATGTCTATTGATTTAATGTCTCCCAGACCCACCAAATAGAGTTTATTCAACACTAAAATGCAGTTACCTCTAGAATAAATTTTGAAAGCTGAAATGGAATTTGGCAACTGTTTAACTCGACACAGAAAATTCACTGAATTTAGAACAAGAAGTAAAGTGAACATTATTTTATTTAATTCAAGATGCAGTTGTATTTTAAGAAGACATAATAATGAGATGGCAAACCAAAATAAATAAATGAAAATGAATTCTGTTTTCTAAGCTCCTAACTCCATGCAAACATTATAGGTCAAAAATACAATTATTGTAGTCTTAATTGGAGTCATAGCAACTTGTTGCTTAATTTATAATTTCTCTGTAGTCACATATACAGATATATAGTTTTGAGAGAGTTAATACATGGAAAATACTTAGCTTAGTGCCTAGAACACTGAAAGTACTCAGTCAGTGGTTGCAATTACTGTGGTGTTTGTTGCTATTTTCTGTTGCATTCTTGTGTCTCTTTTGACCTTTCTCCCTTGCTTCACTCTGAATAATTTCAAGAAACATGATTTTGGCTTAACTGCTTAACTAGATTTGAACTACTGATTCTATTCTTTTAGCAATTAAAGGATTCTTTTCAATATTTGGTCTCTGATTCAACCAGGAAAGAAGAGATGAGAAATGGTGGTGTTCTTTTTGTTGATTTATCTAGAACCTGTGGTTTTCAGACTCAGGTTGAGGGAATATAAGTGATTTTCAATAAGATATGCCAGTTTTAGGGCTTGTTATTGACTTGCCCCTATAGTCAGGGCTGTTAAAAGGATTTTCAACAAAAACGATCTCATCCTCAATCTTAATGTGCTAAAGAAGAAGACAATAAAAGAAAAAAAGGCATTCCTCTCAAACAATTTGAAATATCTGCAGTTATTTTTTCAGAGTTTTTACTAAAACTCAAGCTAGTCTAGCTCATTGTGAAATTTTACAAATGCATACTTCGGATTTATTTTCAAAGGGGAGAAATCATTCTAAACTTCCCTGTTTCTTATTTTTCTTTTACAGTCCCCATGCTATTTCTCCATTTCAGCCAACACTGTTAACAGACTCTTTTAACATTTATATGCTCTTGCAAATTATGGCATAAAAAACTATTTCTTGACTTCTTGCTATGTACTGATATTGTATAAGGTACTGTGAGGATCCACAAAATTAAAAGGCATAGATTTCAGAGAGGGTAAAACTTACACATGGGAAACAATTAAGATCAAGTGATTTATAAACAGTAACCTCTGAAATAGAAGGTGCCAAATTGTGTGACACAGACAATAGGGCAACAGGGCTCAGAGATGGGCAAGATCAGCGGGGCTGTATTCATCAAGGAAGGATTTGGCTTGAGCTTCAGAAGGATTGGTTGGATTTGTATCACTGTAGAAGAGAGGGGAAGGCATTCCAGGCAGCAGGGAGAGCAAAAGCAAGCTCAGAAGCAGAAATGTCATGCAAATGTCATGGTATGCCCTAATTTTAATGATTCCGCAGTCCTATGAGGTGACTTTAATCTCACTGTAATTTATATCAGCAGCAAAGGATTTGAGTTTACAAGCTGGCTTCATTTAAAGAAAAGGCAGATAGAGGGGTGAAGATAGAATAAATACATTCAACAAATAGTAATAGTCAATAAAAATATGAAATTTTAAGGTTCTAGCTATTCTAAGCATGTCCTTCAGTCTGATGTTTGGTTTTAAGAAGGTAAAATTCTTAGGGCATCATAAAGAACCTCAAACATTTAAGATAACTAATCTAATCTCTAAACCAGAGGAAGGATGTTTTTCTTAATACTGTAATAAAAGAGGCTGCCACCATATTTTATATGGCACCAACTCTATTGGTTATTAATCAAGTTCTTAGGCTAAACTTCAGGCCTTCTCTCATCCCAGGACCTTTAGCTAGTGAGCCCTAGTGAACATAGCCATCATTCAACTCCTTGCCTTCTCCAATGAGAAAGAATGCTGACACAGAAATGTTTTAGAGTCAACTGCAAGAACTCATTAATACCAAGCCCAAGAAGGAACTGCTGATCATCAGGGATCTGATCACAAAATAAATTAGCAGTTTTGCATCACGATGTCTTGTGACATACATGCATTAGTGAAAGTAAATAAGCATGAAGACAGACTGATTAAGCTCACTCATATAATTGGTTTTTGAGAACGGTTCCAATATATTGGGAGAAAAATAAGCATCAACTTGGAAATCAAATTGACTTTTTTCTTAACACTGAACAAAAGAATTGTTAGAGGTTTGAGGTAAAAGATCGTGGCAGAAGCCAGTATTGATTCACATTACTGGTCAGCCCTCTTAAGATTCTATGCTTCTCTGGGTGTTAAAAGTCCACTGGAAAATAAGAGAAAGAAAATTGAGTTTCAAGGACGTAGAAAAATCTGATTTGAAATCAGGTGGAAAGTGCTCTAATGCCACTAGTATTAGGAGGCGGTAATTTGCAGATAAAAAGTAAAAATACAGGTCTGGAAGTGGTATATTTAAAATTTTACTTCTGAGATATATGATGAGTCCAAAATAAGTTTTAAAATAAAATGAAGTATAATTTTGAGGAATATAGTGCCAATTTGACAGAAGAGACTTCTCAGCTCTTTGGGGAAAATATTGAAATGCATGGTTTTAAGTGATGCTGGCTAGAATAAAGGTGGAAGGAGGAAAATAAATTACCTCATTTTAACAACCTCATTAATAAGGTAATAAGAGACTGTCTTACCAGTGATGTTATTTGCGGACTAAAGTTTCTCAAAAGGAAGAAAAGAGTATAGTCTTGAATAAAAGGTGTACCCAAGTATGAATAAAATAAGTATAAATCATTCATTTTTCAAAAACCTGTGAAGCTCAAAGAATAGGTATTATTCCATTTTGTAGATGAGAAAATTGAGGTTTTGAGGCAAATAGTAGGGAACAGAGTCTAGATTTGAACCTAGGTCACTTTAGACTTGTTTAAATATGTAAATCACTCAAAACTCAGAATTTTTGCATTTGACTTCAGATAAACAGACTGGATAAATTCCTACCTAAACAGAAACTAACTTTATTGTAATTTTCTAATTCCTCAATGTTAAGTTCTCAATGATTAAAGGTGCCTTGAGTATTTTATTCAAAACTTTTTGGTACTTAATCCTATAAAAATAATGACATACTCTTATAATTAAATAGACTTATTTCAAACTGTTTCCCAATTTCAATTTATTCATCCTTTTTACTAGTGACATCATTCATTCATGATAAAGGAAACAAGGAGGCTTTTTCAGGTAATGTCTTAGGAGTAAGGAGAGAGAAAGCAAAGTTAGTACCTTGTTAAGATTTCCAAGAACTTTTATATTCAGGAATTTATATTCAGGAATTTCACTGATTTTTTTTTAAAGTTCCTTCAGGGGCAATTGGGCTGCTGGGCTGCTGATTCTCAATAACCACACTTACACCTGACAAACAAAAATGCATTACTCTGTGACAAGGCATAATTAGTAATTTCCCACTGAACTGGAATAGTCATTTTAGCTGTCAGAAATATTTCTTTTCCTAGTAAGAAAATTCACTTGCAAAAACAAAAATTAAGATCTGAAGAGTACTTACCAAGTTGAGCAAGCAAGGGGAAATGGATAAGCTAAAAGGCAGCTATGTGCTTCTCTCCTACTGGCATGTATCATAGACTCAGTATTTTCTAGAGAATTATCTGGATACTCTCATCAATATATCCTAATTCACCAATATCAGTATAACATGTAATTTTTTCCCTAGAATACAGCAAATAATAACTGAAGATTTTAAGGGACAACTTCAGACAATAATACCTAAATACATTAAAATGACTAAAGGAGTGTAATTGGCTTGTTTGTAACACAAAGGATAAATTCTTCAGGGGATGGAGACCCCCATTCGCCATCATGTGATTATTTCACATTGCATGCATGTATGAAAACATCTCATGTACCCCACAAATATGTATACCTACTATGTACTCAAAGTTAAAAATTTTAAAAAAATTTTAAAAGTAAAGAATATCCTGTCAGTAATAATAATATCTAAATACAGGACTAAATTAATTCATAATACAATTTGTGTTGGTTAGGAATGCTCTAGGCTGCAGATAACAGAAAGCCCTACTATTGGTGGCTGGGCATGGTGGCTCACACCTGTAATCCCAGCACTTTGGGAGGCCGAGGCAGGCGGATCACAAGGTCAGGAGATAGAGACCAACCTGACCAACATGGTGAAACCCTGTCTCTACTAAAAATACAAAAATTAGCCAAGTATCATGTCACGTGTCTGTAATCCCAGCTACTCAGGAGGCTGAGGCAGGAATATCGCTTGAACCCGGGAGGCGGAGGTTGCAGTGAGCCAAGATCATGCCACCACACTCCAGCCTGTGTGACAGAGTGAGACTCCATCTCAAAAAAAAAACAAAAAGAAAGAAAGAAAGAAAGAACACCCTACTATTGGTGACATAAAGAAGTAAAGTTCCTGTTTCTCACCTAGTAAGTAGTATAGAAATGGGCGGCTGCTAGCAGGGAAGAGGAGGGAGATTTCAGTGGATATCAGATTGGTTGTATCTCTGATTCTCTGGGATTCTTCCACTTGACCATCTTGCAGTAGATCTAGGCAAAACAGGAAGGGATAAAGGGAGGGAAAAGAGCGTGCCAGCCTTATTTATCTTACCAGTAAAAGCTAAGGTCTTCCCCCAGACGGCTTTAACACATTTCCACACATAGCTCATTGTCCAGAATTGGCTCATTGCCAATCCTGGCCTCAAAGGCTAGGAAGTAAGAACATACCGGATTTTCTCGCCTCTCCTCCAGAGGCAAAAAAGGAAAAAGGTGTCTGGAAATGGGGGTGGGATGACCAACCAACAGAGACTGCCATGCCACAAAAAATAATACATTCTGCCACTAAAAGGAACTTTACCATTTATTACATTACTCTGTTACCATGAGCTTACCTGAAGTGTACCTTAAATAATCACTTGAGGAGAATTTCTATATATCCAAAAACAAGCAGAGAAGAAAAAAATCATACTCTTAAGGATTTCAGAAGCTAGGCTTTGTTCCAGGTGTGCTTTCTGCAAAGTGTTTTAAATTCAAGCCTTAGCAAAATATCAGATTGCTACCAGGCAAGGACCTTCAGAGTCACTTGATAATATAGGAAACCACAGTGTCATGCATTTGCTACAGTGGATGATGGTGGGACACCCCCATAATCCCCTTATTTGAAGGATTTTATTCACTGATAAAAGTCACTGCTATGTGATCATGATTGATTGCTCAACTTTTAATTATTGACATATATTACAAGTAAATATGCCATACATATACACACACACAGACAAATATACACAAACACACTAGAATTTCTGATCTACATGAGATAACTATTACTCTAAATTGACATAATTTCAGCCCAAAGCAGAAATATTTGCTCTTTTGGAAAGTATGTGAGCTTAGTAAGATGTAGTTGTGAATCTTCATTTTGATACTTAGCAATAACTTTTCAGATCTTCATTATTATTGCCTAGTATTTCCTTCAGGGGCCCCCAAATGTGGATTGGGAATCCAGGTTGGAAACCACTATCCTCAACTTTCCACTGATGCTCCCATATTGCTTTTAAAAGAAAACATATCAGACTTAAAAGTTATTTAAATCTTAAATTAGCTACATCTTAACAGCATAATTAGCCTTTTATACCAAGATTAGTGAAAGATGCTCGGCTGGGTGCGGTGGCTCCTGCCTATAATCCCGGTACTTTGGGAGGCCGAGGCGGGTGGATCACTTGAGGTCAGGAATTTGAGACCAGCCTGGCCAACATGGGGAAACCCCGTCTCTACTAAAAATACAAAAATTAGCCAGGCATGGTAGTGCACACCTGTAGTCCCAGCAACTCAGGAGGCTGAGGCAGGAGAATCGTTTGAACCCGGGAGGCAGAGTTTCCAGTGAGCTGAGATCACACCACTGCACTCCAGCCTGGGCAACAGAGTGAGACTCTGTCTCAAAAAAAAAAAAAAAGAAGATGCTTTATTTTTGTCTTGTTTTCTGAATGGGTGATAACAAGATTGATACCAATAAAATTTTGCTTAATTTGATTTTTCAAGGTAAATATGGCAATATATATTTTACCACTTTGTTATTTATTTTCTTAGTTCTATTTCAGATCACCTGTCCCCTCGTTTCTATAATTATTTTCCCCACAATTATATTTGTATCTGATAGACCGTATTTGCCATAAATAAGAAGCACTAATAGCTGGTGTTAAAATAGGTAAACTTTAGTATATTTTATATAAGGACCATTGAATACTTATGATTACTTGTTTTAACAATTAGGATGTGTTTGACTGCAAATAACAGATAATTGATAACAGTGGCTTAACTAAAAAAAGGGTTTCTTCTTGTCTGGCATCAAGGACAGAGGAGGCAGGCAGGCTAGGGTTGGTACAGTTGTTCAAATAAGTCATCAAATACCAGACTTCTGGCCTCCTGCGTCTCCATCCATACCGTGTAGCTTCCAACCTCATGTTTGTGGGATGGCTGCTGCCCCTCCATGTGCCAGGCAGGAAGAAGGAGGACAGGTGAAGGACAAAAGACATAATTCTGTCCCTTTTATTTGGAAAATAATAGCTGTCCAAAAACTTAACCTCAGATGCTTCATCCGTGTCTTATTATTCAAAACCATTACATGAAAACAAAAAACCGCATGAATATCTGGAGAGATGAATATTTTTAACTAGTCAGGTTGCTACTCCAAAGTCAGGATTTTGTTAAAAAGAAGCTGAAAAACTATTTGGCATAAACAATAAGTAGTTATACATGAGACAGATAAGTTAGCCAAATCAAAATCATCCTCTTTATATCAGTTTTTCCCCTAAATTTAACTTAAAATACCTGAAGTAATTGGAAATAAAGTAGTTTTCCAATGTAGACATTGAAAATTATCTGTAAACTAGTTCAGTGTTCTCTGAACAGCAACTAACACATACATTGCAGAAATTTCATGAATATTAGATTGTGTTGATTGCTTCAATGTTTGTTCTTAATCTAAATTTTCACTTTAACAGTTGCAGCTAACTATTCATATATACAATCAACTCTCAGTTACCAAAGGGTGAATGCCCTGAATTCCCACTATTGTTGGAAAACCTGGCTATCCATTTCTTCTTTGCATTGTCACCCAGTGGAAAGAGTTCGCTCCTTTGTTATACTTACTGTGAATTCCACTCCTTCACCTAACAAAACAATGCCAGAGCAGAAGCACGTGTGAGTTTTTTCTTTATAGTCAGATCAGCTGCTGTGGAGGGCCTTTCCCTCTAATGACCAGCTCTTCCTTCAGCAAAAGTATAAAGCATGCAGGCAGCTATCTAAAGGAGCAACTACTTTGGAGCCAGACTTCTCAATCTTGACCATGAATCCAGGTGAGAAATACTGAGTAAAAATACAAAATGGATTTGCGTAAGAGTTCACTAACTCCTCCTAGATCAGGTCTTCACTTTCTTCTTTGAGATGTCATGAGTTTACAGTATGGAAGACACTCTATTTGTTTATTTCATCAGTCATGTGTTCACTTGGCCAACACCTGTTAAATGCCTACCTTGTGCTGTGTATCATGCTGACTCACAATGTATACAGTCGCACCGTATTCTGCGGCCAAATGGATTAATATTTGTAAACATAGTTAGAAGTTTTACTTTTGTAAGTTATCTATGATCTTGAACTTTTGTTACAAGTCCACCAGGTTGTACAGCTCTGTGGTGGGGGTGAGGGTCATTTATAAAGGCTGCATGTGAATCATATCAGCAGTCCCCCAGGGGTTGCAGAGCACACACCACCATGAGTGTGTGTAATTACTCTGGTTACTTCATTGCACATTTGAGGATTGGCTCCTGTTTTGTGTTATCCATATTATTAGCTCAGCTCATCTAGATCTGGACAAATATAGTTTTTTTAAAAAAAGTCTATTTTATTTTCCCTCATATGTATATATATCTTTATCTTAGATAAATTACTATTGCCTATAATTTTCATATATATTATAACCTCTGAAGAGAATTTAGTACCTATATTCTTTCTACTCTTTATTTCTTTGTGTGAATAGGCAACATGTTTACCTCCCTTCACTATAGCATATTGGTATTAGGATATACTATATACTTGAAACTTAGAAAATTTGCAAGAATAATCAGCTGATTTCATTCCTGATGTATAAAGGAAAATATTCCATTCCTTAAGTGCTTTTAGTAACTTATATTGCAGTGACTTTAATATTACTGAGGAAGAAACCTGTAGTAATCTTATTCACCTCATTGGTAAGTTCTTGCAATATTTATTATTAAACATTAATTATTAAATATGAATAGTATTAAATGTGTGGTACATTGCTTTTTTTAATAACCCCTTTCCTGATATCCCTTAATTTACATGGTATACTTTTACATTGATTTTTTTATAAATCATTTCTACTTACTTTCTATCTGAATATTATCTATCTGAATATTAATATCAATTATCTACCTGAATATTTCTATCTGAATATTAATTCTTCAGTTAGCACCAAATGCAGAATTTATTATGCAACTTTTAAGCCCTCTACAGAAATCATTATATTATTTTATAAAGAATCCATAACATTTTCTCTTCTTGGCTTTTCAGCAAGTTGTCTATAGTATGTATATCATAATATTACCTTGTGTTTTAAACCACTCAGAAAACTGGTAAAAAGCAGAATTGTCATTTTACTAAATATTCTTTCTTCAGCCAATTCCCATGTTTATCATTTCCTTAATTTTTATTGTCCTGTGTTGTAAAGTGGTCTGTGGCTTCAAAGGGCTTTTATTTGCTTTACTTGCTTCTAGGTTTCTAACTGCTTGTGTGCCTTTTGAATACATGTTTAAACATAAGAGAAAAAATGTGAGTAAGGCTCGCTTCTGATTTCAGACTGCTTGAGAGGGAAGTGACTGAAGGGGTAATATATAATCACAAATCAAACCCAAGGCCACTGTTAGGCTTCTTTCGGTGCCCTGTTGAACGGGAAAAATTAAAAAAAAAAAAAGTCTCTCGAGTTTCACAGATTAGCAAAAACTTCCTTGTATTTACCATGCACTGAAAATACAATTAACAGTTTGTATGAGAAGACGAAAGATAATGAAAAGAGAAATTAGTCTCTGAAAAGCACATTCTTATGAGGTCATGAATTACAAGTTCATGTGTCTTATGGCAAAATATTTATCTAAGAGATTCGGCTATAAAAATCAGGAGTCACCACCCTCTTTAGATTACCCAAAAGAGTTGATAATGACTTCATAATAGCATAAAAAATCTGGGGTCTTTATTGTTTTTAATTCTGATTTCTATATTTTATCTATTGAAAATCAAGAGCTGTGGATAAAAAGTTCATTTAGGGCAGGGTGTGGTGGCTCACACCTGTAATCCCATTTGAGAGATCAAGGCAGGTGGATCAGCTGACGTCAGAAGTTCGAGACCAGCCTTACCAACATGGTGAAACCCTGTCTCTACTAACAATACAAAAAATTAGCCGGGCATGGTGGCAGGCACCTGTAATCCCAGCTACTCGGGAGGCTGAGGCAAGAGAATCGCTTGAACCTGGGAGGCGGAGGTTGCAGTGAGCCGAGATTGCACCATTGCACCCCAGCCTGAGCAACAAGAGTGAAACTTTGTCTCAAAAAAAAAAAAAAAAAAAAAAAAAGGTTCAATTAGATGTCCTAATGAGAGAAAAGAAATTTAGCAGGGATCTTTTCATATCAATATCAACAGTTGTTCAAATGCTAATACAGGTTTCTCTTAATGGTTATGAGAATGGTGTTTGCATTAATGGAAAGCAGACACAGTAATCTCAGGTGTGTTCATATTATCATTATTTAGTCTGAGAAATCTATTAAGAGTTAGTCTTAATACAAGTAACTGAAGTTGTTGCCTTCATTAAGGATTTCTGTTCCTGAAATTTGTAATGTACACAGTGAATTAAATATGGCATACATTAGCCGCTGATACAGGAAGACATATTTGAAAGAAACAGGGGAAGTAGAAATGTGGATGGGAAGAGCATTTAGCAGTCTCATCCCTCTGCCATTCCTTCCTTTTGTAGTGAGCCAGCAGGGCGCCTGGTGCTGACAGCCTTGGCAAACAACCTAGAGAGAAAATATGTCTTCTGAAAAGATCACGAAATCTCAAAGACCTCCAGTTCCTTGGTATTTATACAGCATTTGTGGTATTTTCCTCCTTTCTTTTCTTATTTATCCTTAACAGAAGAAACAACAAGTAAATCTGGTGAAAAGCTTCACCAAGAAAATGCTTTCTGAAAGAATTTAAAAGAAGACAAAGGAGTTGCAGGGAGAAGCAGGTTGGCAATGAGGAGCTAGGCGGGGCCTTCGGGAGCGGGAGCAGCACCCACCATCTCACAAATGGCCCTTCTCGGCAACGTTGGGGGATATTTATTCCGGGGAAGTCAGAGAAGCTCCAAAGTGGCTTGCAGCGCTTTATCAGCCGACATTTACACAGAAACTCCTGCCTCTGAGCTTCCTGTGAAATCTATAGGAGGAGAAGCCCAAGGGACTCTGGCTGTTAGAAAATTTGTCATCCTGCTAGAGAGACCTATAGATTGGTGGTTAACCACATGGATATTGCTGTCAGACCTGGGTTTGAGTCCTGGCCCCATAGCTGGCTCTCTGTGTGACCCTTAGTCATGCTGAGCCTCAGCTTATTTAGCTTTAAATGATGGGTAATAATAATATCCACCTCACAGGTGGAAGTGGGGTGAGAGAATTTGTGTGGAACACCTAGCTCCATTTCTGGCACCTAGGACAACCTCCATACCTGCTAGTTGTTATGTTTGAGTGATCTGCATATTTGTAACAACAGGGATACAATTAAACAAGAGTCCATGCTCTTCAGGAATTAAGGAGAGGCAACCTTCTAGGTTACAGTCAGGAAGGTTCCATTTGCCAGACAACGAATAATCCTTGAGTATTCACTCTGCTGGCCGTTGATAGAAAAGTGACCGTGACTTCATCACTGCCTTCAAAAAGCTTAGCAAGGAAGACAGGTATATACACAAACAATGTACAGAATGGGGAGTGTGCTTGGGTTCAAATCCCAGTTTTGTTGTTCATTAGCTGTGTGACCTTGAACAAGATATTTAACCTCTCTGTTCCCAGGTTTTCCTCTATATAAATGACAGTAATAATAGCACTCACATCCAAGAGTTGTGGTGAGGATTAAACTTGTGAATACTGTACAGTATAGCACTTAGAATAATGCTTGGTACTCAATAAATATATATTAGTCATTATTATAATACATTGTGGTAATAGAAATGAGAGATCTGGCAGATTTTCTCTCCTAATTTCTTTTTTGACATAGAAGTGGTTAGGAAAGGCTTCCTGGTAGAAGTGATGTCTAAAAAATGGCCAGTAAGGAGAGGAGAGAACAGAATCTTAGAAAGAGAGACGGCAGATGCAGAGACCCAATGGAGGAGGGAGGGAACTGATGTCTTTGAAGTATGGCAATTTGTTCAAAATGGCTGGAGTTTGGACTGTGGGGGGAAGAACAAAGGAAGGAGAAGAGAGGTGAAGTAAGATGAGTGAGAGAGGCCAGGTCAAGAAGGCCTTTGTAAATCATCCCGAGGAGTTTGGACCTTCTGAAAGCCAAAGGGAGCCCTACAGGAGTAATTTGACCAGACAATCAAAAATCCTGGAAACAGATGCCCAGAGGGAGAAAGTGTATAAATAAAGACAGTATTGAGCTGAGAGTTAAGCCTTGGAGAAAGCCCACATTTGGGGGAAGGAGAAAGAAAGGGCACTGGTACCAGAGACCAAGAAGGAATAAATATATTGTGAGAAGAACCAGGTAGCACCATGCTTGGACGCGGAGGGAGGATAGGATTTCAAGTAGGAAGGGTTAAGCAAAGGTAGCGAGTGCTGAGAAGAGATCAAACAAAATAAGGACTGAAAGAAGTTTATTGGTTCTGGCAATTAGGAGGCAATTGGTGACCTTGGAGCTTTAGGGAAGCCTTGGAGCTAGAAACCATATGGCAGGGGGTACAGAGAGCAAGGAGAAAGTCGACTTCCTGGATGACACCTCTGGGTTCTCCAACTTGGCAATAAAAGAAAGAAAAGGATAGAAGTGAGAGTACTTGCAGGGTTTTTAGGAGAGACTCAAGGGATGATTTCAGTGAATAGATTTTCAAGATTTCGGGGACTAGAGAGAACTGGACGACTGATAGGCTTGGGGGGGAGAGGGGTCCCTCATACATAAGGCTAAGAAGACAGGTTAGATGCAGAGACCATTTTGAGGTTGAGGAAGGAGAAAATTAGGGAATTTTTTTCAAAGGTCTGATAAAGAGAAATACAGAAATGGGAGGCTTCTGTTTTGGAAGGTTTTGAGTTAGCTGATGTGGGAGAAGCTTTAGGGACTTAGAAATAAATAAAACAATTGCTGAGCACTCGAGAGACTTGTGTGCCTCTTCCACGACAAATTAATGAATTTAATTTTTCTACAAGTCTTCCATAATAGAATGAAAAATTGTGCCTACTTAACTCCTTATGAAACTTCAATTTAATTCTAATTCAGAACTTTAAGAAGCCACTAAACTTTATAATAACTGTTGTTCATAGGCTGAGCGCTGTGGCTCACACGTGTAATCCCAGCACTTTGGGAGGCCAAGGCAGCTGGATCACTTGAGATCAGGAGTTCGAGACCAGGTTGACCAACATGGCTAAACCCTGTCTCTACAAAAAAATATAAAAATTAGCTGAGTGTGATGGCGGGCGTCTGTAATCCCAGCTACTCGGGAGGCTGAGGCGAAAGAATTGCTTGAACCCAGGAGGCGGAGCTTGCAGTGAGCCAAGATCGTACCACTTCACCCCAGCCTGGATGACAGAGCAAGAATCTGTCTCAAAAAAAAAAAAAAAAAAAAAAAAAACAGTTGTTCATTGCCCAATCTCTTTAATTATTATACTAAATTTTCCCCCCAAATTTAACCTTACCTTTTAAAAGAATTGCCGAAATAAGTGGTCATGTTGCCAACACATCCTCTCCTTCTACTTCCAATATTAGTAGCATTTCAGAATTCTTTACTTCTTGAAATGTTTCCTCTGGATTTCCCAAAACATTGGGACACTATAGCCTCTATCACCTACACATGCTGGAACTATACCTCACACGTGTTTGTGCTGTTCTCACTGCCTCTGAGGCTAACTAACGCCATTGGAGGACTCGTCCTATTCATGGATTTCATCCATGATTCATTTTCCTCATTATATTTTTACCTATTTTCAGCTTTTTGCCTTGTTAATTATGTACATTTGCCATAATTTCACAATGGCATTATTAAAACATCAGATTGTCCAAAGGGGAAGCTAAATGGATGTCATACCATTTAGAACAGAGTTTCTCCTTCAATCACTGCTTTTATTTATGAAGTTTAGACCTTAGAATCGCCTCTGTGCAATGTGAGAGTCCTCCCCTAAAACTCTGCAAAGCTTCTTCTGAGTCACGTCATGGCATGCAGGAGTCTCCAAGCGGGAAAGGTTGCTTTTGATGGTTCAGCCAGTTCCATTTCAGTGAAGGGACATCACTTCCCTAAAATGAACCCCCTCTTGGTAAACGTTCTCCATTTTCTAGCAGAGTCAAACCAAACCAGAGAGAGGCACGTTCTGGGAAGTAAGTTCTCCAGTGTTTCTAACCATAAAGCTGGGTTTCTGAAATCCAAGATTACTCCCAGCAGGGAGCCTAAATACAGCCTGAAGCTACAAAAAATAAGTATCCCTATTTTACCTGTGATGTCTATAAATTGTGACCACTTATTTTCATTCCAGAGTCATACTTTGTGCTGAACCATGAAAAGCAAAGCTACATTTAAAATTTTAAACCATAAGCTATTAGAGAAGGGTAAAAGAGTCTCTTTGTGTTAGGATTTCTTCTGTCTAAAGGTAGGAATAGCAGTTGCCATTCTCTGACATAAATAGCTCTCATATAATACCTTTCAGGGAAAAAAATTGCTTTAGGACAAAATAACAGTCACTACTCCTTTTTCCCGTGCATGAACTTTGGAACAGAAAAATAACATTAACAGGTTATTAAACTGTTTGTCACCAAAGAAAAGTAGATGGTATTTTTGTGCCTTGGATAATGTTAAGTGAAGAAAAAAATCATCAAAGGGATCATCTGTACTTGCCCTGCTTTCAAAATTACTTTTTCTCTTTTCAATGGAATTCACGACTGTTCTTGGTTTTCAGACTTGTGACTTTGTTCATTAGAGCAAATGGTTTAATTTTTATTCCAAACTCTAGATTAAGTTTCAGAGTTCAGCCTGGGAGAAAGGAACTATTGAAAACCTTTTCTGTTTCCTTCTCTTTTTTCTTAAGGGAGGGCTTTGGTTCTCAGAGAATATCAAATTCCGATGTCAGTTTTGTAAATAAGTATCTGTTGTCTCCCCAGATCAAGCTGTGTTTGTCTTATTTGTACATTTATAGTAAAGTAATCTACAAGTGGTTCCTTGATAAAGTTAACACTTAGTTAATTACCCAGAGCCTTGACATGTCCTATAATTGCCACTTGGCTAACAAACATTTGATACTTGTCTTGGGTAGAATTTGTTGAGGCCTAAAGAAGTAAGCTCTTGATGGATGGGGAACAAACCAAATAAATACAGTATTTTATGTTCTTTTAATTCAGGGCCAAGTGGATTTGGATGAAGTGTTTATTTAGTTTGCTGGCTGTTTCAAGATGCTGTGGCGTATTGATTCCTTTTATTACTAGCAGCCGTTTAACCTGACCTCTTCCAGATCCAGTATTTTAAAAGCCATAAATTTTAACTTTACTTATGAGCAAAGGCTGAAACACTGTGAAAGCCTTTTTATTAGTCGAGCTCTGCCATTTTCGATGCTCTGGTGTCACCCATGGCAACAATATTTAGGGCTTCTTACATTAGAGTGGCTGCTGGGCTGCTGGGGAGGGGCATAGGCAGCCATAAAATGAAGCCGTAAACATTTCAAGGGTATAAGATTCCATGACTGTGATAGCAGACAGGTGCAAGAAAGAAGGGGCAGGTCTAAAGACAAAAGGGTTGGGGATGATCATGTTAAATAAACATCTACTTTAGCATCTCAGGTACTGAAAAGAATTTGAAAATTAGAAACAGAATACCAGGTAATCATAGAGCAAGGTGGAGCCAGGGACCAACTCGAGTGACCCATCTTGTAGGTCCCACACTGCCTAAGTCATTTTCTGGTCTTCATATTGCACACAAAAGTTCTCTGAAAACGAAGTTGAAAGAAAGAGACCTTGTTCCAGTGAACAGTTAGCAAACTAGGGAGATGCAGTATTTCTGTCCCAAAGTCCCAGGCACACCCTTAATCTCTGCAATTGTAACAAACCAGGAAATCCACTTTTTTTCCTAAGTTGGGAAAATACATGCCTCACATCATAGACTGATTTGTACAAAATATAGTAAAAACTTTCCAGAATGTCAGTACTTTACTTTTCTAAGACACTATATAACCTGCACTCGGAAGGCAGGCAACTGTTTTGTATCAATCAGCAAATCAAAGCCATTTCATCTTCAAATAGCCCAGTGATGAAACTCCTGGGCAGGTTGTCTACATTAAAAGTACCTGTTTTTCCATAAAAAAGAGGAAGAAAAAGAAATTTTATACATGAGTTTACCCCTGAAATGGATGAGTAGATGAGAATGCCTTGTAGTTGAAGAGGAAGACAAAAAGAAACTAATTCTACTTGTGTGTCTTCCTGGTTTTAACTTACACACATCAGTAGCTTTTGTTCACTTTGTTGAAAATTTCCCATTCGTTTTCTAATTATCAAAAATGTTTTTTTAAACAAATAATTTTTTTCAACACTAGCCCTCTTTTTATTTGATCATGTGGAAAAACTCTTAATACAGCATTAGGGAGGTTATATAAGCAAAGAATGATCATTTCACCATAGGAGAAAAATCCAAGATATAAAAGGATATTGAAAGAATTTAAACAAAAACATCAACAGAAGAGAGATACTGAATGAAGAGATGTTCCCCCCTTTCTTCACTTTATATTTCTTTGCAAAGAAATTTAATCCAAAATAATATGTGATTGGACTTGGATTATTATTTCATCTTCCTGGTCTCTTTCTTTTCATTCTTGATAACAGTGTACTTGAGCATCCTTATACTACCTATTGCCAGAAACTGCCCTAGCCTTTTAAGAAGCCAGGTACTCATTAATTCAAGTGATGTTTACAAGTTGGCTCTTAATATTTGTCTCCTCTTCAGGTATTCCAGTGGCTTAAATTAATATATATATATATATTTGTATGTGTGTATATATATATTTATGTGTATATATATATATGTACACACACACATATATATTTAAATTTCTTGCTGTTAAATTGTTTCCCCAATCATGTTTCTTAGATTGCTGAAATAGAAGAAACTTTCTTAAGAATTTGAGAAAGTATAAATCAGGGCTGTAACATCAGGATTTTATCTTCTTTCAGTTTTATAAAAATGGCCCAATCTCAATTAGATATAGGTCCCACACTGCCTAAGTCATTGTCTGGTCTTCATATTGCACAGAAAAGTTCTCTGAAAAGGAAGTTGGAGGAAAGAGACCTTGTTCCAGTGAAAAATTAGCAAACTGGGGAGATGCAGTATTCCAGAGAACAAAAAGAAGGTTTGGGTGTTATAGTAAAAGTTCCCACCCAGGTTCCCAATCAGGTCTGTTTATGCAAATGAGAGATTCAAACTTGCTTAGTTCTGACTGATCAATACAGCTGAGCCCTGGTTGGTTGATACAGCAAAATCCTGATTGGCTGAGGCAGGTGAGCTATGATTGATTAGTTCAGGCAAATTCTGAAAGTTCCAGAGTTAAAAAGGTGTGGGGTTTTGGGGAACCCAGAGTAAGAAAGTGTATAAACTCTATTCAGCAAATGGCTGCTCCGCTCTATCTTAAATATAGGCCCAATTAGCCACTCAGAATTCATCTTGAAGGATTGGTTCTTTCAGATTCACATTTGTTCACAATATAAAAACTAAACCCTTCAGAGTGTGAGAATCCTTACACTATTCCTATGGCTAGAGACTTCTGTCCTAGCAATTCAAGAAGCCAAACTTTTTTTGTTTGTTTGTTTTTGAGACAGTCTCACTGTGTCTCCCAGGCTGGAGTGCAGTGGTGCAAACATGGCTCAACTGCAGCCTCAATCTCCTGGGCTCAAGGGTTCCTCCTGCCTCAGCCTCCTGAGTAGCTGGGACCACAGGCGTGCATAACCATGCCTGGCTAATTTGTTTTTATTATTTTGTATAGACAGAGTCTCACTTTATTGCCCAGGCTCAAACATTCTTATGAATTCAAGTCCCTAAATGCAATTCAATTCACTAAACAGCAGCATAATGTTTAGTCTTTTCTTTTTCTGTGACCTTATTTGAATCAAAATGGACCTGAACACTTTCATTACCCAAACTATGGTCTGATCAGTATTCTATATCACACTCCTCCTATTGAATAACAGTATGTAGAATTTGAAAATTGTTAAAAATACTTATAGCAAAATATACAAAAACAAAATTTAACCTCTTAATCATTTTTAAGTGTACAGTTCAGTAGTGTTGAATACATTCACATTGTTGTGCAGCCAGCTTTTACTGTACCAGACATGCTAATAAACTCCCCTCTTCCCTGAAGTAAGCCAGCGGCCTTTCCACCCAGAGCAGCTGGTGAATTTGATGATCTTGGGCAGAATGCTCCCCTCTACCCCCACAGGAGGGAAAGCAGCTCTTACCTTGGGGAAGTTACTCAGATTTCTAGAAAAACTTTCTGTAAGGTTGGCTGTCATGGTGTGAATTAAAAGGTTATGTCAGAGGTTAAACTATGCAATTAAATCAAGAAAGCAGATTATTCTAGTAGCTGACATTAACGTTTGAAAAGAGACAGGATTAGCTGTACTTAGTCACATATAAACTGCACAAAGCGAACAAAGGGGAAAAAAATTATTTCACCAAGCTTCCCTTGAAAGAAAATCGTTCCATCTTGCACCTCTAATTTTTCAGCTTAATTCTGTTACTTCATGAGGTTCATTATCCTTTTCCAGATTTGCACACGGTGACTGATGCTCTGTGACGGGTTGTTTTTGTTTTTCTGCTTTAAAAAATATTCCCTCCCTCCCTAAATAATTATCTGCAAATTAACCTTTTCTCTTACTGGAATATTTGTTAGAATAGAATATAGAAAATAGAAATGTGTAAGCAAGACTGTTTAGACAGGAGATAAATTCTTTGAGGCCACAAGGGTATCATTTATTAAATGACTGCTGCAGTCCTCTAAATGGGCCCCTTTTGACCTGAAAGAGTTAATGCTCTATTGAAAGTGGCTGGGTTGTCCCCAGCCTTACTCCCTTGGAAGGCTCTGACCCATTAATGGCGGTAATAATAATAATAGAAAACAATCCTGCTTTGCTTCCATTACTCTGAAACTGTTAATGGTATCCTAATGTTTTTTATTCTTTTAGTGTAACTGAAAACTGACATTCTGCTCAGCTAAAATTTCAAATGTAGTATTTTTTTTTCATTACCATTTTTACATGCCATGCAGGATGCTGAGTGAGGAATAAGGCAGAGGCTTGTAATTGGTCTTTTAAATCATCATAAACATTTATTTTTCCCCCCATGGCTATATCTAGTGCCAATAACTCAGTCATCAAATGATGGGAAAAACTGTTTAATGATGCATCACAAGCTCCTTCCTAAATTTTTACCCAGAACAAGGCAGGGAATATAAAAATAAGTCACATTGCTCAAAAGTTGATTTTAAAATAAGCACAAAACAGTTTTTTTTTTTTTTTGTGGGAGTATTAGCAGTGAACCAAGTGTTCCTTTCTTTTTTTGATATAAACCCTTTTTAGAAAAGCCTTGTGTTTTTATATTTTTATTGTAAGTAATAATGAAAAGTAAAATAGGACTCTGCAATGTGTGGGGCAGAACTGTGGCTTCTGTTTTGGGAGGCTGACGTTTGTAAAAGGCAGGTAATGATATTACCCCTCTGTGGGACTGTCAAGACAAGGCAAAGCATTTGGCACAGAGACTGTACCATGGGAAGTTCTAAATAAAGATTAGCTATCATTATTATTATTATTGTTGTTGTTGTTGTTCTGCCAGAGCAAAACATCCATCCCAGTTTAGGGTACTGAGGCAATACCCACTCAGAGCAATTGAATCCTAGCTAGGGCATGGTATAGATATAAGTCCCTGCCTTGCCTATTGTCCATGTGCATTAGAGTGACTATGTTTGGATCCAGGGTCACTGACTTCAGAGGCCCCTTATTGCCAGTGGGTGTCATAAACCTGTTTATCTGGCCACTAAGGTCCTTGTTGGTCTTTTCCCATTCTCTCTGTTCAACCTCATTCCTATACTCCCAGGCCCCATGAGCACTCTGCAGTGGACACATGGCTGGGCTTGCTGCCCCTTGGCAGGCCGATGTTCTCCGCTGTCGCCCACTCTGTCTCCAGGACCATCTCTGTTTGGTGCTGCTCATATTCCAAGGATCTATTTCAGCCTAGAGTCATCATTTTCTCCTCTGACTTCTGCCACTCCCTCTGTATCTTGCCACATCCCACCTTGTTTGGGATGCTTTTGAGTTTTGCATTTTGACCTTCATGTAGATTGCTTGTTCCTTGAGAGCAGGTGTTCACAAAGAGATACCCATATTGTCTTTTGATGAGCTGAGTCCACATCCTGCAGATGTGGAGGAAAAGATCCTCCTTTTTAATTAGTAGCAACATATTACGTGTATATAGAGTACACTGCAGCTTTGTGAATTTTTTGTACATACATAATTTCATCTTATAATAACAAATGATGGGAAAAACTATTTAATGATGCATCACAAGCTCCTTCCTAAATTTTTACCCAGAACAAGGCAGGGAATATAAAAATATATCACATTGCTCAAAAGTTGATTTTAAAATAAGAACAAAACAGTTTTTTTTTCTTTTTTGGGGGAGTATTAGCAGTGAACCAAGTGAAACTTATGAGACTGGCATCCCTGTTAACTTAGACAAGTTACTTTATCTTTGCCTCAATTTTCTCAACTATAAAATGAGGATAATATTAGTGTATACCTCATATAATTACATGAGTTAATAGATATATATAAGAATGTGCCTGGTACAGAGATAGCTGCTGCTATTTTTATCATCATCATTATCATCATCAATATGATTTTTCCATTATCCCACTTTTACTGATGTAGAAACTGAAGCCCAGATGAGATTAAATAACTTCCTTAGATTCTAAACCTTTCAATTCCAAGTCCCCACTGAACATGCCTCCTATATCAAATCTTGTTGTTAAGCACCCTAGACTGCTTTTAGTCCATCATTTCCTTAGAGTCAATTTACAGAAAAGTTTCTAATTCACAGTTTGTCTGGAAATTTCTGTGAAAGGGAAACTTAAAACAAACACAGTGATAAAACACAAACCCTTCTCCAGAAATAGATACCCTCTTCCTGGGAGACAGGTCTCTCTCCTCCTAAATGAGAGGCCTCTGTTGAGTAGTCATGAGAATACCTATGGGAATACCTAGCTCTTAAAAGTGATATCAGATTTCCTCCAATCTCTCTAAAATCCAGACAACATATTTAATTAATGTCATTGTAGATAGGTTGTTTGAACCCCTGGTCAACCATAGCAAGAATTGATTTTACCTCTCTTTTGAAAGCCATTCTATTTTTCTAAATTGTCTAACCATTGGTAGTATGTTTCTACTTATTACTAATGATCTGAAGAATGGTCCTCTCTTCACAAAGGAGTCAGGGGTCAAGGTGAGCAAACCAATGTAATAAAACTCTTCTTGATGTAGAAGATTTGTCACTTGTAAAATCCATGCAGCAACAGACTGGAACATGCCTGTCTATAAGCTGGTGTCAGACACACTTCTCACTGGTGTGGTTAGCTCTGTACTCACCATTCCTTCACCAGCAGTCTGCCCTGTTACTCAAGTGTCCGACCTGAGCAGAAACAACTGGTGGTAACATGGATTGTTATGTGGATGAGAGATTGGAGAATAGAATATGAAGTCAAGACTGTGAGTTACAATGGAAAGAAAACAATTTCAAACTAGTTTTGCAAAGATAATTTCTTGACTCCTGGCAACTAAAATGTTCAGAGGAACATCCACAAAGAAATGTAGCTGCACCCAGGGTCTCCATGTCAGCAGTACTCTCTCGTGCAGTTCTGGTTCCTCTCTTCAGACTTGATTCTTACAGAAAAGCAAGATGGCTGCCAGAAGCTCCAGGCTTAGATTCTCCCAGTAACCCCAGTAACAAAGACTGCTCACTCTACCAGGCTTAGTTCTAGTTAGCCCTGTGTGTGTCAGTAGCTGTCCCAGAGCTCACCAGGGGGAAGAAATGCACTGATTAGTCATGTCTGGGTCGTAGGCACACTGAATGAGAGTTGAGGAGGCATAGTACACCAAGGAAAGCCAGGATGCTCATTTTAGATAGAATAATGGGTGCCGGCTAGGAAAAAGAATGGATGTCAGCACTCGGGGGAGAAAAGAGAGACAGTTTAGGATAAGTGGAGAGTTGTGACACTCTTGCTGTTTCTCTGTGCGCTTCTCTGAGGTAGAGTAAAGCAAGTGTTTCCATGTACCCTGACATCTCAGTACAACCCAGCAAGAATTTCAGTACAAGAAAGACTGATCATAGAGTTCCCTGAGGGAAGGTTATTAATGGAAGTATCACCTTCTTGTAACCTTGTTTCCCGCTGGCAAAGATTCCTCAGGCTGAGTTACTGGGAAACTCCAGTATGCTGTCAGATTTCACAACAACATTAAGTGGTACTTCCTTTCCATATTTGCCACCTCATTTATTTTGTGTGTCCCCATGTTATTAGTTTTACTGCCCATTAATCATTATATATTACCAAATATAGTAAAGCGTGCTTACGAGGAGATAGCAAAGGGTCCGGCCATGACAGTCACAATGAAGCCATGCCAGGAGGAAGCCTAGGGGTAGCAGGCAGTGCCCCCTGTCCCGTCCACCCAGACACATAACCCTGAGCACCTCCTGGCTCCCAAGTGCATTAAGATATGTTCCTGCACCCTATCCCTCCTCGTCAGAGAAAAACCTGGGGAAAATAGTTCTGTTCATTTTGAGGACAGATGACTAACCATGCTAAAAATGTATATGAAGAAATTAGAAGAAATTTGAAATTGTAAAAAGAAAGGAAGAGCAAGAGATTTTATTAGCAATGAGTTCCATTGCTGCAAAATATACCACTCTCTTTCCCTTTAATTTATTCTATGTGTGTCTTCCATATTATTTTTTCTCTGAATACCAATATCATCAAGCGTTTACTCTGGTAAAAAAACTTCATGGCTTTCTATTGTCCCCTAATTTGGGCCTTGCCTTCTTAGCCAGATTTCAAAGCCCTTCATGCCTTTACTTTATCCTTTCTACTCATGTTTATTTCCCACCAATCTCTACCACATTGTTTTTTGTTACTAGTCACTCCATCCTCCCGGTGTCCCCACCCCCCAGGAGACGTGTTTGGACTTTTCCTCATGCCTTTTCCTCTAAGTGGTGTGCCTGTCCACCTCCTACTTCTCTTACCTATATATCATCCATCTTCAAGGATATGACCCACATCATGCATAAAGTCTTACTCAGTGACTTAAAGTCACACTGTGCTTTCTTTTCTCTGACTTCTGCAAGCCTAAAATACTCCAGCCCTTAACTGTGCTCTATGTCAGCATTCTTGGTACGTGGTTTGCAGAGATACCTGCTGGCCAGTGATCCCAAAAGTCCATGACCTTGTCTGATTTGTAATTTTGTTGATGGTGTCATGGGTTAGTCTGATGGAGAAGAGTGAAAGAAACTAACTAGTTCTTTACTTGCTGTCCCTGGCATGGTTATTCTCAGGAAATTGTTTTAGCATGTTACTTCTTCATGAAAAATATCTTTGCAAGAAATAAACAAGTTTATTTGGGCTACTAATAGAAGTAAAGGAGATAGAAGATGATTTGAAAAGTGATAAGAAATCTTAGACCAAAAAAAGTAGAAGTTTTCAATAAAGAGTGAAAATTCAGAGCTAGTAATGACCCTGTCCTACAATGTATGAATAGGGAAGCAGAAATCCTCTTGCCATTCTGTGGGTTATAGAGAATCCTCCTAATGGGTGTAAATTTTGTTCACCAAAAAAAAAATATGATGCTAAGCGGTGACATGTACTGAATATTTGCTGTTGCCAGGTATCATGTTCAAAGTTCTGTATCAGATAATCTTCCAACTACCCCATAAATGAGGTTCTATCATTATCTCTGTTTTACAGATAAGGAAACTGAGGCACTGAGAGGTAAGAGCCTCACCTAGAGTAACACAAATAGTATATGGGTGGAGCTGGGGCATAAAACTGCTATGGTTGAGTGTGTCCCCAACAAGTTCATGTGCTGGAAACACAGCTCCCAGTGCAGCAGCGTGGAGATAGGTGGGACCTTTGGGAGATGACTGAGTCATGAGGCCTCTGCCACCATTAACCCATTCATAAATTAGTGGATTAAACCATTCATGGATTGATGGATTAATGGGTTATTGAGGGAGTGAGTTAGTAATCATGAGAATGGTGTATTATAAAAGCTAGTTTGGCCATCTGTCATGAGCCCCCTCAACGTGTGATGCCCTGTGCTGCCTTGGGACTCTGCAGAGAGTCCCCACCAGCAAGAAGGCCCTTACCAGATGTGGCCCCTAAACCTTGGCCTCCCCAGTCTCTAGAACTAAAAGAAATCAATTTCTTTTCTTTATACATTACCCATTCTCAGGTATTCAGTTATAGCAACAAAAAACGGACTAAGAGAACCCAAGATGTCTAATGTCAGATTGTGCTTGTAATAGCAATTGCTTTAAAGAGTAAATTATGAGTGAATGCCAGAGATGCAATTAATTAGCTGAGTAAACAGGTAACATGGCTACCATTGGAAATATGAATCCAGATAAATCCAGGTGTATGTACGAACAATTTATTTTCTAAAATTTGGGGACTTGTATTCCCCTGAGATGGGTCCTTCTTGAGCTTTAAGGATCTCCTATACATTCTCTGGTGTTATTAGTTCATGTGTGTTTATCTTTGCTCTACACATAGACTAGAATGTCTTTGACTAAGCTAGGTGTTTAATCTTTTATTTCTGAGGCAGCAAAGAAAATGGGAGGAATTTCAGCTCAAGGTTTGTCAGACCAGGAAAGCCTCATATAGCATCTGAGTAGCCTTGCCAAGTCAATAGGATGACATTTCCTTGTATGCACTCTCAGGGAACTTAAAATAAGAATTGAAAGAAGGTTGAGTGTTTGTTCTGAAATTTACATGAGATGTAGGACTGAGGCACTGCCTCTCAGGAATGTGAAGGGAAATCACAAAATACCTTTGGAAATCCCCTCAATTCACCATAGAGAATACAAAATTATTGTTTCAAAGAGATAGCCATTTCATCAGTCAAACACCGATGAAATAGTTGGCTTGTGTTTGAAGATAGTGACACATTGCTATAGACAAAATGTTTGTTTCCCCCAAAAAATCATACATTGAAATCCTATACCACAATATGATGGTATTAGTAGATAGGGCCTTTGAGAAATTATTAGGTCGTGATGCTGGAACCCTCTTGAATAGGTTTAGTGCTCTTCTAAAAGAGGCCCCAGAAAGCTCTTCCACTTGAGAATGTGGCAAGAAGATGGCCATCTGTGAACCAGGAAGTAGGTCCTCAACAGACACTGAATCTGCCTGTGCCTTGATCTTGCACTTCCCAGCCTCCAGAACAGTGGAGAAATACATTTCTGTTGTTTGTAAGCCAGTTTATGAAATTTCATTATAGCTGCCCAAATGGACTAAGACAAAAATTGGTACCAAGAAGTAAAATGACACTATAACAAATACCTAAAAATATGGAAACAGCTTTGAAACTGGGTAATGGGTGGAGGCTGAAAGAGTTTTTAAGTGCATGCTTAAAAAAGCCCACATTGTCATGACTGAACTTTTAAAAGGTGATTCTGGCAAGGGCTCCAAAGCAAAACAAAAACAAACAAAAAAAGCAACAGCAACGACAAAAAACACCAACACCACCAACACCACCATCACAAGAGGAGAGCTGTAAAGAAAGCTTCGATCTCTGAGTCTTCTTAGATGATACCCACATAATCTTGAATAGAACGTTGGTAGAAATATGGATGGTAAAGGCCATTCTTATGAGGTCTCAGATGGAAATGAGGAACATGTTATTCACGGAAACTGGAGAAAAGACCATCCTCGATATAAAGTAGCAAAGAACTTTGCTGAAGTGTGTTGTTCTGGTGTATTATGGAAGGTAGAACTTGTAAGTGATGAAATTGGGTATTTAGCTGAAGCTATTTGTAAGCAAATTTCTCTGATTTCTCTAAAATCCAGATAGCGTATTTAATTAATGTAATTGTAGATAGTTTGTTTGAACCCATAGGCACAGCCTGGCTTTTTCTGACTGCTTATAGTAAAATTCAAGATGAGAAAAATGACCTAAAGATGGAATTGTCCATCAAAAAGGAAGCAGAGCTTAAAGACTTAGGTAATTCTCAGCCTATCCATATTGAAAAGTCTGAAAAAGCCTGTTTGGGAAAGAATACTAAGGATGTGGTCAAACAACTGTTTGATAAGGAGATTAGTATGGATCAGCCATCTCAGCAGAAGCCAGGAGCTATTCTCCAGGACAATGGAAGAATGACTCTGAAGGCAATTCAGTGATCATCAGGACAATCCTTCCTACCAACAGGCCCAGAGTGCAAGGGCCCTGGAGACAGAGTGGTGTCAAAGGAGGGGCTGCTGGTGCCCTCAGGACCTCAGTGCATGCTGCATAGGGCAGCCAAACACCACTGGGTTCTATTCCTTGTGCTGTAGTGTCAAATTGCTTGGACACCCCAGGTAGAGCTCCAGTGGGACCCAGTGTAGCATGGGTCACAGAGGCTATCCCTCCCAAGGGCACAGGCAGCAACTTTGGTGGCATCCACACAATGCCATCTCTGCTGGTGCAGAGAGCTGTAGTAGAGCCCTCATGAATGGGATTAGTTTCCTTATAAAAAAAAGACTCACAGAGAGTTCCCTTGACCCTTCCACCATGTGAGGACACAATGAGAACACAGGCATCCATGGACCAGGAAGCAGGCCCTCACCAGACACCAAATCTGTCAGCACCTTGATCTTGAACTTCCCAGCCTCCAGAACTGCGAGAAAATTCCATTGTTGATAAGCCACCCAGTCTATGGTATTTTTGTTATAGCAGACCACATTAACTCAGGCACACATGAAAGCTATAAATCTTGAAACACAGGAATCATACTCAGGGTGGTGAGATGCTCAGCATGAGAGAGGCAAGCAAAGACCCGCAGAGAACAACTCATTTCTCCAAACTCCTGTTCCCTCCCAGACACACAGTCCCTCAAGGGCACACTGTCATTGAGATGGAAGGTAAGTGAAATTGCTCTCATTAAGTTATTTTATCCTGCCCATCCTCCCACCTTTTTTTCTAGTTTTCTCTCATCATGAACATACAGTTGAATTTGGGTAAGATCAATTGTGTGTGATTAGACTTCACTTTGTACAGGAAAAAAATTTAGTGAACTGTAAAGCCACAGAAAATGTTAGTTATAGTCACATTTATCTTCCATTCCTCTTAGGACCAAGCACAGTTATGAGCCACAAAAAATACCCAGTAAATAATTGTCAACAGCTGACTTGATTTTGGCTTGACATTTTAACATTAGATTGAAACCTTGCTTAAAGTGTATTTATAAAGAAATTGTTATTCATATGAACATGAAACTGAAAAACCTCACTTTCTATCAGTTCTGTAAATAACTCAGTTATTGAGAATTGAAATGCTCTTTTTTTTCAAGTACAATCGGATAGATATAAAAAGGGGAAAAATACAAAAAATTATAAAAATAGCATTTAACCTTAAAAAATACAGGTGCCCAGGCTATACAATATGTAAAGATACATTCATATATGTACCCTCCAAGAAATCAATCAAACATTGACCTTTTATGTTATGCTAATGGTTTTTGAGGAAACATTAAAATTCTTTATATTATGCCTTATTTTGAGAGTACTGTCATATACAACCCACATAAACATACAAACCACTCAACAATCAAAAGCAGAAGAAACATTTACTGTTTTAGCAAGACATACAAAGAGTTAATGGCAAAAGGAAAGAGAGGGAAAAAATCACCGCAATGGTCTGTGTTTAGAATATAAAGCCTGTTACCAAGGTATACAAGGAGGAGCTGGAAGGCAAATAAAGGTGTTCTTGGCAGTAGGTAAAATTAAGACTATTTAAAGCACACATGAGGTGGAAATGGCAGAAAACATTAATATTACAAAGATAAGTTAAGCAAAAGGAACAACTAGTATGCAAAGAAAGGCAAAATACAGAGATGAATGAATAATTATGGGTAGGGCAGTAATTATTAAATCATTGAAAGTATGTAAAAGAACCTAAGGGTTGTATTAACAAAGAAGAGGAAGCTGTATGTGGGCTTTGAGGAAGTGAAGCAATTGTGGACTGTTTCTCCATGTAAAACTTTGTTCAGTCTCACAGCACTGAAGAAAAGGGGCATCCCAGTGTTGTAAGTACCCTTTACCTTCATGTTCCTTTTTTCCTACAACAAATATTTGTGCAGTAGATCTCTGTACTGAGGATAGAAAAATCAATAAGTCTAGGAAAGGTAGGTAACATTTTTTGATGCTGTATCACAGGTAGGAAAATTTCCCACACTGGTCCATTTATTTGACCCTCAAATGAGTATTCTATTACTTATTTAAATAATAAAGGTAGTGTTTTCCTATAAGTACCCACATGTCTCTTCTGGAGACCAATGCTGTGTACTTAATTTTTCAGTTATTTTCTTGAATGCAGCTTTTTATTTGTTTTTTGTTTGTTCATTTTGTTTTTTTAATCCAGTAGAGTCTTTCTAAGGGAGGAAAGAATGAAAACAAAAGATTAAAACAAACCAGCATGCTGGGAATGGTGTTGTCTGGGATCCTCAGTTGCCCTACCAGAATCTACCCACAGATAAGGTTATATATGTATCTTTAGAAATAGTTTAACCACTAAGTTGAACCATGGAGTATATTTTCTTATCTGTAAGATAGAAGAAAAAAGAAAAACAAAAATGTCAGAATATTTTTGGGGTAATGAATTCACTATTTGTTACATTTTGGGGACATAATCTGAGTTCAGGAAAGAAACCTAAACAAGACATAAAATTTTGACTATTTGTTTGTGAAAGAAGGAATTTTTAGTAAAGAAAATTAAAGTATATAGCAATACTTGGCAAACATTTGAACACACTTGAAGGGCCATGCTCATACTCATAATCAAGGAATTTATTTGTTCACATAATCTTCCGATATTTTCTCTGGATAGTTTCACTTTAAAATAAAGTATTTGGAGATAGGGTAGGAGAGATTATGCAAATGTATGAATCTTAATGAGAAGTTCATTATTGAACATTTTGATGTGAATTTCAGGAAACGATAAAAGACCCTGGGATTTGTGAGACTTAAAAGAAAAATTCCACTCTTGGAGAACTTGGAAATTGCCAGTAAAAGAACTGAGACCCAAATGACAGCAGATAATGTAAAGCCAAATTGCATTATGCCCTATGGTAATGAATAGGAAACAGGGCACTGTGATAAGCTTGGAATGATGATCAATATTTGGAACACTGTGATAGGCAAGAAGGTAATTAGGCCCATTATGAACACAGTGAACACAGATAACATAACTTGGGAAATTATACATTTGGATATTATGGAGAATTTTTTAAAGGCTAATGGATTTGCAATGATATCAAGTAAAGCATATAAGACATTTTGCCTCTAGGAAATCTACTTAAAAAATCAAACAGAAAATTTTCAGTAAATGTAATCTAAAATGAAAAGACAAAGTGAAATATGTGGGAGAATAAAGTGGTATTGTGACTCCTACTTGGAATTTACAATAATTTTGTATTCAAAGAGTTTTACATTTATTAATTTCACATCACAACTCCCCATGCAGCAGGAAAGGCGTTTCTATTGTGTTTGTCCAAGTTGACTGCTCATAATAAGGCAAGGCCAAATTGATAATAAAAGCAAGCTATCTTGACAAGTTCTCAGCCTTCCCAGGTCTCATGCTGTGACCCCTGGATGGCATTATAATAATCTTGATCCCTAATTTATGATGGGAAACAATCCCTTTATTTTAGAAGGAAGGATTGTAAATTAATTAATTTTCACTAAGTGCCGTGAGGGCCATTGATGTTATTGGAATGTACAAATTAATACATTATTTATTGTTAATTTATCATAAGTATTTGTTAATTACAAAGCTCTAGCTGGAAGAAAAACTTGCCATGTATCTGGAAGTGAATATCTTCCCTAAGACAATTTCTCATTTTTTAATATGGATGTATTGGAAGCAATTTCATCAATAATGGAAGATCCAATTACTGGTCTTCTGGATTAAGACATTCTTTTATTGTGAGATTTTTAATGCTAAAGTGGGAAGTTCAAACATTGCCAATTAAATCTCAGACTAATTAGGTGATTATAGCCTAAGGAGAAGGGCAACTAAGACTCCACTATTAATCTATCTTATCACAATGGCCTCTATATGTGATGAACAGATGAACATATATATACCTGTGTCAAAAGAAGAAATGTAAGGCATTGTTTGAAAAAACAATTTCAGGAGTTTAATTGTTTTAAAAAAATTTAAGGAGTTGTTTCCCTTTTTGAATAAAAAGGGAAAGCATTTTTTATGAAGTCCTTTTTAGCTGTTTGTAGAACGCATGATCATATTTAAGAATTCAATGATGGATTGAACCAAATCTAAGATTTCCCTCATTGAAATGTTTAGAGGTGGTACAAAAGTGACTGTGACAGTAATGATCACCATTGCTTTATGAGCACTCACGATGTGCCAGGCACCCTTCTATGCTTTTCTTATCCTCAATATGATAGCTGAGGGAACTGAGGCACAAAGAGGTTATTAACTCAAGAAGTAATTAGCAGGGCAGGGAATGTTTGGATATTCTACAGCCTCCTTTTAATCCTTCAGTATTAACCACTACCCTCTAGACAGTTTTATTCTCAATTATTCAAATCATCTGCCTGTGGAGAAGCAACAGCAGTGCTCAGCTGTAAGGCAAGGGCAGGAATCCAAGACTGAGTCAGAGAAACTGAGGTCCACATCCAAACTATCCTCCAGGAAGGACCTTCTGTTTCATAGCATGTTGAAGTGAGGCTTTCTATAATACCTGGAAGGCTGGGGCAGCGGTTTCTCAGCATCTTAAGAATCAGTTTCATAGTGGCACCTCTCCAACTAGGTGGTAGCTCTCTCATGGGCCTCTTGCCACCCTTTTTATGCCTACAGGACACATGGGCATTTTGCCTGGCACAGCTTAACTCTTTAGTCTTGGAGTGTGTTTGTGTATGTGTGTGTGTGTGTGTGTGTGTGTGTGTGTGTGTTCATTCTTTTCATAACGCTGTATTTTTGGGAATGGAGGGTAGTAGGGGATGTATCGGAGGATTGATCTGTGCAGAAGACATGACCCTGAAATTTCCCTCTACTCTATATAGGACCATGTCAAGCTAATCCTTCATTTGGAAACAGATGGAATCTTTAAAAGCGCTATAACATCTTTTTAAAAAAAAAAAAATATGTGGCATTTTTTTAATGAGGCCACAATTTTAAGAGAAAATTTGGCACCTGACATTAAGAATGTTTTTATTATACCACCTTGAGAATAATTTTTATGTGAGATCCTTCTTTTAGCACCCTTGATAATTGTGTGTCATCTGTTTCATGAATCTTGTGTATGTTGAGCTCATGTTTGTGAGGGGAGGATCCGTTCTTCTCGATCTTAAAGAACATGGACATAGAAGCCACAACCAATATCGCATCAGCTATAGATGAAAATATGAAGAGTCATCATATTTTAGGATAACTTCAATGGGATCAATTGGCTGAGGTTTTGATTTTGCTAAATTACTCACTTGAAAGAGACCTCTTCTTGAGACCCCTGGTTTTAGTGAAAGCCTAGAAAAAAAAAATGTGATTTTTGTAAATGGTGAGGCTAGACATAGACAGTGAATCTTCTCATTTTAAAAGCTGTAAAATTTTCTACGCACCATCAACCTAAACTGAAATTGGTGAGAGTAGGAGTAGGGAAGAGGGATTGAAAGTGGCAATTTATTGTACTCCACACAATCTTTACAGGGAGGGTATTTTATTCCAAGTGTTTTGTTGGAATTTAACACTGATGCCTTTCAATTGACATTATAATCCCTTACACAGCAGGTAACCTTGACCTTCTGTAGGAGCCCTCAAACATATGAAAGACATGGGGATCCCTGGAGAAGGTGCTTGTCAGAGCCCCCAGTTCAGTCAGTTCACTGTACCTGTAAATCCTTATAAGGACTTTCCTGATTTTGGTTCTCTTCTCTAACATGAGTCCCTACTCTACAGCTACATTCTGTGCATTCTCCAGGAATAAATAGAATTTTTTTTCCAATCCTGAAAACTCCAGAGTCCACATTTACAACCTAAGGACTCAACCACCCTTTTTGCTTTTAATATTACCATGTATTACATCCAATAGAGTTAGGTTGTAATATTGCCCAACATCAGTTAGTACTTCTACTTTGTGACTTCTATTTATATAGAGTGAATTAATTGCCAACTCTATTAATCTTGCAAAATCCATGAATCCTTAATGTTCAGTTTGCTTAGAATGAGGAACAGTGTATTTGTTTCTTCTTAGCTATGACTTCTTGCTGAGCTTCACATGAGCTCCTTTTAGATAACGTGCCTTCTATCTTGGACGATTTATTCACTTTCATGTTCCCTGGAATTTATTGCTAAACGTTGACGTGAATGCTTACAGTTTGGGCTCTAATGTAATCTCCTGAATGGCAATTAATAAATAAAAGATGGTTACTATTGCTGACAGAGAATCAGGGCTTTCTCAGATAGTTTTCATCTTCATGTTTTCACTAAACTTCATGTCAGACATCCCTAGGGGCTGATATTATAAAATATTTTCTGTAAACTCCAAAGCTTTTACTATTGCTTCTATACACCCAAACCTCTGTGATGCCTTTTGTTTTCTTGTCAGAAATCATCTTATTCAATTTCTGTTTCTTCAACTTATCTTCCTTCCTGGGAATATAAAAAATATGCCTCTTTCTGGATTTAATAGTGACATATCCTCAGTATTTATGACTTGCAAGTAACACCTGAAATTTGTCCCTGAAATTTTTTGTATTTTTTTTTTTGCTTAGTCTTATCTCTGTTGCATTTATTGAATATACTCTGTTGAATTTACTGAATACTGAATTGCACTTACCCTACATTAATAGCCAGTAGGGTTTATAAAATCTAGTGTTTATTGTCATCCTGTATATTGTTCAAAGTGCAAAGTTGTCTCCTATAAGTTAATGATGAAACTATAACGCAACATCCAATTTTTGCAGTTTGCCTACTTGACGAGGCTCCAGGGTTAATCTAGCCTAATATTCTTATTTTAGAAATGAGGACAATGTAGGGCAGTTTAAGTTGTTTGACCATAATCAAATAGAGGGTGCAGAGCAAATACATCTTTAGACAGTAAAGTACATGGTACACAGCAGAAAAGCTGGAACTAGGCTGCCTCGGCCCAGCTCCTGGTCTGGATGCTTATTAAGTGTTTAACTTTAGACAAGTTATGTCAATGCTGTGTGCCTCAATTTCTGAATCTGTAAAATGGGGCTAAAAGTAGTACCAGTAGCACAACTATAAGGATTATAGTAAGTTACTGTGGGTGAGGCATTTAGAATAGTGCTTAACACAGACTAAGCACTCCATGCATTATTAGCTATTACGATTATTCATTATGTTGACTATTTTTAACACGTTCGGATCATAGGTAAAGGTGTGTATTGCTATTTCACTTCACATAGGTATATATATACATCAGTGCTTTTTTGTACTTCTTTTGTATTCCTTAATGCTGTGTGCAGCTGCTAGTAGTAGTGTTCATAGTGGCAGTGATAATAGAAGCAAAAATAGTGATGATAGTAATAAAAGATAGTGCCGTTTATTGAGCCTTGCTAGGTGCTAGACATTGAAGTAGGTACTTTACATACATAATTCTTAATAGGTACTCTTGTCTATTGATAAATGACACAGTCGTTTTTTCCCAGAAATGCAAGTAGACTTCATGACAGTAGTCTCCTTCGTAACTGGAAAGGAACATGAGCTGTGGCCCTGGTGGAAAAGCTTTGACTGTAGAGACAAGAGCCCTGATAGAATTCCTTCTGTCTTAAAGATAATCCTGCTAATATTATATATTATATATATATATATAATATATATATATAATGCTGCTAATATTTATATAACCTAATCCTGTTATTGATAATTGAGAGACTAGCTGGGGGTGGGAATGGAGGTCAAGGAATGGAGTGGGAGGGGGCAGGTAGAGGGCAAGGCAAACCGCACAAATGAAAAACATTATATACCAGAAAAGCAATGATTCAAATTCAGTTGTGCTCTATATTTTCTGTTTTATAATTTTATATTGCATTAAAAGGTTGCCTCTTTTCTAGATACCAAATAGGAATACATTCAGAACTATAGCATCGACACAGAAAAGTTGTTTTCTTTCTTGCTTTGCTTGCTTGATTGATTGATTAAATAAATGGCAGTTACCATACATTAATAGCCAATAGGGTAAGGTAAAGTGTTTAATTAGAAAAATCACAGTCACTTCAATGTTCTTTTATTTCCATGCCCAGTATGTTCCTTACTAATCATATGAGCAACCATGGCAATGATAAAAGCTGTCAGGTGTGGGAGTGCTAGGACGATACTGGAAGAGAAGCTCTCGTCATGTTAGGTGCTTGGTATGTTTGTGTGTGTGTCTGTGAGTATGCATGTGTGTATGTGGGTATTCTCACATATGTGAAATCACTCTCATTCACATACATAGTCTCTATAAATAGCTACAGCCTTTCAAATTCATAGGTGTGTGTGTATATGCCTATAGACACACATGCATATACACTTCTGCATAGAGAGAAATGTACCTATAGTCATATTAAATTTTATCACAGCTTTAGAAAAGGAAACAGAGGCTCAGAGAAGTCAAACCACTTGTTCAAGGTTACAAAAGGTGGCAAAGCTGGAGTATAACCCCAACTCCCACCCACTTAACACCCCTTTTTTGGGATGTCCAGACAGAAATATTCTTAGAACAATAGCATTACACCACACTGCCCCATTAGAAGAGGGGTGACCTTTTGCCCTTTCTTTTCCAGAATCTCCAAGCAAAGATTTTGGTCCAACTCTGGGTTTGAAAAAGTCCAGCTCCTTGGAGAGTCTGCAGACTGCAGTGGCCGAGGTCAGGAAGAATGACCTTCCCTTTCACAGGCCCCGGCCGCACATGGTTCGAGGCCGAGGCTGCAATGAGAGCTTTAGAGCAGCCATTGACAAATCCTACGATGGACCTGAAGAAATAGAAGCTGGTAGGATGATATGCTTCCTTAAATGGCTTCTTCATCTCATTATTATCTGCAAATCATGGGCAAGAATGTGTGCTCAACTACAGAAAAAAATGATTTAAGGATCACAATTATATTTTTGATATTAAAAGTAATTCATTTTCCTGATATGTTTTGCCCTTTGGCTTAATGAACATGGAATTGGAGAACACAATATGCAATTTATTTTACAGTGCAAGGCTAAATAAATGTTCTCCTTCACTTTTCTACAAGGACCAACTGTCATTTACCCTTAGGGTAGGAGCACTAAGTATGCATTTCTTGACATTCTCATTCGAGTCATTAGAGGCAGCATCAATCCAAGGACTCCGACTGCATTAATTGGGTAGAAGCAGTTGGGATATTTTGTACTCAAAACTCTCTTCTCACCCTGTTTGTTTCCCAGCATGCAGGCTTTCTGAGCTGATCAAGGTTAACAAGGCAGCTTTCAGAGAGATTAGTGCTTGAACACATATCAAGCCTTTCATACTACCAGCTAAGCAACCGGTTGTCCCCACTCCCAGCATCAAGTCTTGCTCGAAGTAACCAGATTTAGGCAGTCAGATCTTCAAAGGGCGCACGTAACCACATAGAAGGGTAGAACTACAGAGTGCTGTTATTCATTCTTTTGCATTTTACATGTTAGCGTTTCTCTGTATACTAACTGAGTGTGCCCCTGACCATGGGTATTGATTATTTTTTCTCTGTACAGACGGTCTGTCTGATAAGAGCTCTCACTCTGGCCAAGGAGCTCTGAATTGTGAGTCTGCCCCTCAGGGGAATTCGGAGCTAGAGGACATGGAAAATAAAGCCAGGAAAGTCAAAAAAACGAAAGAGAAGGAGAAGAAAAAGGAAAAGGGCAAATTGAAAGTCAAGGAGAAAAAGCGCAAAGAGGAGAATGAAGATCCAGAAAGGAAAATAAAGAAGAAGGGCTTCGGCGCCATGCTGAGGTATGGGCCTGCTTTGAAGGCAAAGTTGGTTCTCATTTTGTCTCTCCTGGTAAAATCACTCCTTTGTCTGTACTCAGAAAAAAGCGCACGCTTTTCCTCGTCTTCAGCCAAATGCATACGGCTCTCAATTCTGTGCTCGTTCTCTTTCTGCAGAGGCAGAGGAGCTTTTTGGGGAAAGTTACAGTGATGACAGGACACTGTCTTAAGTTTGTTGTCAAAGAAAGGTCAACACTATGCCAGGCACGGTGGCTCATGCCTGTAATCTCAGTACTTTGGGAGGCTGGGAGGATTGCTTGAGCCCAAGAGTTCAAGACCAGCCTGGGCAAGGTAGGGAGACCCTATTCTTTTTTTCTTTTTTCTTTTCTTTTTTTTTTTTTTTTTTTTTTTGAGACAGTCGCGCTTTGTCGCCCAGGCTGGAGTGCAGTGGCGTGATCTCGGCTCACTGCAACCTCCGCCTCCTGGGTTCAAGCGATTCTTCTGCCTTAGCCTCCCTAGTAGCTGAGACTATAGGCATGCACCACAACGCCCAGCTCATTTTTGTATTTTTAGTAGAGTGGAGTTTCGCCATGTGGGCCAGGAGTCTTGAACTCCTGACCTCAAGTGATCTGCCTTGTCTGCCTTGGCCTCCCAAAGTGCTGGGGTTTCAGGCAGGAGACCCTATTTCTAAGAAAAAAAAAATTAGCCAGGCACAGTGGTGCATACCTGTAATCCCAAGTACTCAGGAGGCTGAGGCCAGAGCATGGCTTGATCCCAGTAGTTCAAGGCTGCAGTGAGCTATGATTACACCATAAAAGAAAGGCCAATACTTAGTAGAGGCATGGACAATGCCTGCAGTCCTTTGTACCAAAGTGTTATGAAAATAAATACTTCCTCTGACACCACAGGGAAAGTGGGAAGTGGGGAAGCCCTATGTGTTACCTCTGGAATACCTCTTTTGAAGCAGGGGAGTCAGGGTAGATGAACCTCATCCCTCTGTGACTCTAGGTGTGCAGTGGCCGGGCCTCTGGGCACATCACTTGTCACCTCCAGAGGCACTGTGGTACAGGGGAGATGTCACTGGGTCTGGGCTCTGATGCCCAAGTCTGGATCCATGACTCCCCACACATGAGCAATGGGGCTTCACACACATTGCTTAGCTTCCCTGAGCCTTACTTTCCTTACTTTTAAAATGAGGCCAGCATACTTGCTCTACTGACCCAGCACAGTTGTGAGATATGATTTCATATGCTATACATTCATTGACTAGACGGGGCTCAACATGGCACAGTCAGAAAACAGCTTTGTTTCTTCTCTCCCCTTCAAGTATAAACTGTTGAGGCTGCCTCTTCCACACCCTGACATCTCAGCTTTCTGGCTGATAGCTTTCTGGTCACTTTTGGGTAAAAAAAAAAGCAACTTGTTTGTCGGGGGCTAAAATATGCAATCCAATATAAATGAAAGCTTTCTTCCTTTCTGCCTGTTGGACCTGAACCACAAGGAGCATCCTATGGTATGGTGGGAGGCAGGATTCCACCTTCTCCTATTTCTCAGTCTTTGGAACCAGGAGACAAAGACAAGATTCAATAGGATAGGATTTTACTTAACTGGCATTATCTGGTATAATCTGGCCATCAAGGAATCTTTGTGGCTACTTTTGTGGATTTTTTAGAGTGCTCCTTACTATACCAGTCACTAATGTAGGTGATTTTCCCACTGACCTATTTCCCTAAGCCTCTGACCTCAGACATATACCCCTGAGTCTCCTTACCCCGGCTGGTAGACTTCTTGGACAGTGCCAGTTTGAGACAGCTCTAGCTTAACTTACAGCCACAGCATCTACCTGGCTTATTAGAGTTCCTGATCTCCCACCCTCCAAATGATGCAAGTACAGCTTGTTCCCACTGTACCGCTCCTCCTCACCCCACCATAGAGATGTTCCAACCAGCCTTGCATCTTCAGACTTCTCCAGCACATCCCACACCAGCTCTGGGCCTCCTCACTCCAGAAGCACACATCAGACTCTCCCAAGAATGCTGTCATGCATGGGGAAGGGAGGAGGCAGTCAATTTTTGCAAGTCACAAAATAAACAGGTAGGAAGTGGGGTGACAATCTCCTATTATACAATTACCTCCAAATTCCCTAAGGGGTTTACTTGTAGCCCCCTCACTTATTTTGTTGGGTGTTACAGGCAGAAGTACCCCTTTCTATTACTGTCTTTACTCCTATAATTTCTTCTCAAATCAATTGATCACTATACTTCTGTGGGCTGAAGGTGAATGATGGGAGATGATGGTTTAGGGGCCAGTTTGGCCACCTCTTATGAAACCCTTAGGAGATACCTCATTTAAGAATGCTGCGTGTATTTATTACCAATTGTTCTCATTTTGTGATCATCAGCTGAAATTTCTACATAGAAAAGAAAGTTCCATCATTCCATATATAAGTGACATTTAGGGAATACAAATAATCCTCTTAGCAGTGAGCCTTCCCGTTACATTTCCAGTGCTCATGAAATGCTAAGCAAGGTTCCTCATGCTCAAAATCTTGGGAGCGATGTTGCCCCTGGATGTGTTATGACAAGACTTGCTGCGGTCCTGCTATCACCTGGGGTGAGGTTACCCCAGCAGGCCTGATGTCATAATAGCTATCTGAATATTAAAAAACAAAATTTTGGCCAGGCATAGTGGCCCAAGCCTGTAATCCCAGCACTTTGGGAGGCCAAGACGGGCGGATCACCTGAGGTCAGGAGTTCGAGACCAGCTTGACTAACATGGAGAAACCCCTTCTCTACTAAAAATACAAAATTAGCCGGGCGTGGTGGTGCATGCCTATAATCCCAGCTACTCGGGAGGCTGAGACAGGAGAATCGCTTGAACCTGGGAGGCAGAGGTTGTGGTGAGCCAAGATTGCACCATTGTACTCCCGCCTGGGCAACAAGAGCAAAACTCCATCTCAAAAAAAAAAAAAAATTCAGCTAGGCATAGTGGCTCAGGCATGTAATCCCAGCACTTTGAGAGGCTGAGATGGGCAAATCACTTGAGCCCAGGAGTTATAAGACAAGCCTGAACAACATGGCAAAAACCCATTTCCATAAAAAAAGGAAAAAAACACAAATTAGCTGGGCATGGTGGCATGTGCCTATAGTCCCAGCTACTCAGGAGGCTGAAGTGGGAGGATTGACTTAGCCTGGGAGGTAGAGGATACAGTGAGCCATGATCCCTTCACTGGACTCCAGCCTGGGCAACAGAGTAAGACCCTATCTCAAAAAATTAAAATTAAAAAGAACAAAATTTCAGCAAATTGAGTTCTAACAATTGAATTGGATTTTATTAGTGATTCATAAATTGGTCCACATCCCATCTACAGAATAGAAGGGCATTTGAGTGAGATGAGCAGAAGGTGTGAGCTTCATAGGCAGAAAAAGACTGAAGAAAGCAGAAACAAGGAACAAAAAAAGGATTGCTCATTTCCAAATTGCATTCCTTATAGGGTTAAAGTAGAGGGACTTTATCATTCCAGCTCATGTCACTGGTCCTCCTTTGATTAGTTGCTGGGAATCTCCTATATTTTGGGAAACTGACCCATTTCTAAGTTCAGTTTGATTATGTGGCATGTAGCATGAGTGACTCCATTCTGGTTTGGTCTGGTCTGTTGTGGCCTAGTGCAGGAGCTCAAATAATGGCCTCCCATACATTTTATTGAATATGATCTATAGTATAGTAAATGCCAGATTGGGACAGATGTCCCAATAGACATTCGTCCTGATGGCCTCTGTAGACTCTGTCCTTCCAGTTGCCATTTTGAATTTTAAACTTGCCCATATTCTAGATAATTATTAGGATTGCCAGAATTTATGAACTGTGAGTTAACCATCTTGATGATAATGACAACATGTAATTGCAATATATTTAGATAAGAATTTTGTCTTTGAAGGGATGGAGTTGAGAGGTGAAAATTACAGGCTCTGCCTACAGACTTTCTGAGTTCAATCCTGGCTTCTCTAATTTTCACTTCTGTAACACTGAGCAAGTTCTTTAACTTCTGTTGTCTCAGTGTCTTCATCTGAAACATGAGAAGCATAATAGAATTATCATTTTTATGAGAATCATATTTTATTAGATGTAACATGGTTAGACCTGTGCCTGGCAAGCAATAAACATTCAATAAATGTTAATTATTATAGTAAACATAATAATGACCCCTGAAGGTGTCTGCATCCCAACCCCCAGTACTTGTGTAAATATTTTGTTACATGACAAAGGAAAATTAAGGTTGCGGGTGGAATTAAGGTTGTTGATCAGCTGACCTGAACATAAGGTGATTATCCTGCATTTTCCCCAATATACCCAATGTAATCACAAGGAGCCTTAAAGTAAAAGAAGACAAGGTGACTGTGGAAATGAGGTACAGAGAAATGTAGTGCTGCTGGCTTTCAAGATGGAGGGAGGGGACCATGAGCCAAGGAATGTAGGCAGCCTCTAGAAACTAGAAAGGGCAAGGAAATGGATTCTCTCTGGGGAGCACTAGAAAGGAATGCAGCCTAACAACTCCTTGAACACCTTGGTTTTAGCCCTGTTGTGTTCTTTGAACCACTGTTTGTTGTAATTTCTTACAGCATCAAATCAAAAACTAATATAGTTATCATCATAATTACTTTTACTACTTTTATGATATCATAGTAATGTATAAGGAAGAGTTTTTTCTTTAAGGTGTTAACGAAAAACACTATTAAAATATTTAACTAAAATAGTCTGTAAATATAAAAACTGTTAGAGCTTCACATATCCCATTTTCTAGAATATTACTAAATTAAACCTTAACTTTATATTTTATTTCAGATGATTTGATTTGGCATGTTCATACTTCATTGCCCATAATACAGTGCTGGTTCTTCCCTTTTATTGTCCCATATATTCTGTATTTTCATGTAGTAGAAATCACAGGTCCTGGATCCTTTAGACATTTAGCACCTCGGGCTTTGTTTCTTTCCACGATTTTAGCAAAGTTAAGATCTGAAAGGTGGTGTTTGATTTTATCTTCTGTGTAAAAATAGCAACTGTTTTCCATAGCCTTTTGCATCTGAGTTTGTGAGCATATTGGAGTTACTGCTACATGCACATTTTCAACAACAAAGAACACAAAGCTGTTACCATTAGCCAACAGATTTTGCTTTAATTCTCATCTGTTGCTCAGATGCTATTGACTTAGTTTCTTTCTTATTTAAAAAAAGATTGATTGCTTTAAGGTTCTCTTGGAGTTAGATGTGTGTTTTAAGTATGTATTATTTTTTCCGTTATCTGCGTTTCTCAGATGCTCTCCTGAAGATAGGGTATTGGGATGGGTCATGCAGTTATACCATGTAGAATGGCACCTGGCCAAGGGGGTGAATGAAGATTTAAATCCTGCCTCCCTTTCCTCACCAAGGCTGGCATCATGAAAATGTGAATGCCTTAGTGGTGTTCTTGTTCTTGTTTGTGAAAAGCTAAGTGTTTGCACTTTTCTGATATTAGCTGGTCCATTTGTGTCAATAATATGTAGTAGCACAGTTTAACTTCTTAATTTAACCTACTCTTGATCCTTTTGAAAAAATTACAGAGGATGTCTTTAATTAATATCTTTATACATGTTGTCTAATTCCAATATGCTTATACTTTGTTGATTTCAGAATTATCTCCTTGCATGATTCAAGTGTGATTCTTATATAGACCATGAATTATTATTATTATTGTGGAAAAATATGCAGCTCAAGAGCCTACCAATTTTGTAGTTTCTCTGTATGCTCTGTGCTTAAATTTTTTCATTATATGTTTGAGTTCCATACATATTGTGCTCTTTATGGCACTAACCTGCAGAAAGACTGTTCATGCCCCTTTCAGCCAAAGGGTGAAGCTCCAGCTCCTTTAAAAGACAAGCCCATTGCTGTCAGTCCTAGGCCACCTTCCTGGGGCCTAGCAGATTTTTCTAGGAGCCAAAGAGAAATATCCTTTGACAAAGAAAATTTTACCTTGTCTAAAGTGGAAAACCCAGAGATTAGTTTCTGATTTCTTACTTAATAACCTTGTCAATCCTTATGTTACTTAAACTAAATTCTGTCATAGATTTATGTTCAAATCCATTTTTTTTATATAATAGCTGCTGTTGTCTCTTTTTGATATTATAGGCCACTCACTTCAAAAACCTTTGAACTGTCAACTTATTTTGGACACTGAATGGAAAGGTTTGATATGGTTCAGATTCCCTTATCTACAACTTTTATAAAATTTGATCCTAAGAGGAATTATGCCTTGCAAACTCCTTTTTACTAGACTAATGAAGAACCAAGTACAAACGCTGCCAATAGGAACTTCATCTTTGCTTTTAAAATGTGTTTGCCCATATCATTTGATTAGTAACATTTATTGAAAGCCTTGTCTTTGCCAAGCACATTCATAATTATTTTTATGCTATATCTATTAATTTATTGTAATCAATAATTAAACTTATCAGTTAATTTATTAAAGCCCTATTTTGTATCAGGCACTGTTCTAGGCACTTGACACACAGCAACCAAGTCCTGCTTTAACAGCACTTTTCCTGTCTTAATAAAGGAAGGAAGGATAAAAACTTTTGAGTTCATTGTGGTGAGATTAAAACAAAAACAAGCAGCCAGGCATGGTGGCTCTCGCCTGTAATCCCAGCACTTTGGGAGGCCGAGGCAGGCAGATCACGAGGTCAGGAGATTGAGACCATCCTGGCTAACATGGTGAAACCCCGTCTCTACTAAAAAATACAAAAAATTAGCCATGCGTGGTGGCGGGCGCCTGTAGTCCCAGCTACTCAGGAGGCTGAGGCAGGAGAATGGCGTGAACCTGGGAGGTGGAGCTTGCAGTGAGCCGAGATAGCACCACTGCACTCTAGCCTGGGTGAGAGCGAGACTCCGTCTCAAAAAAAAAAAAAAACCAAACAACAAAACAAAACCCCAAGACAAGCAAAATATTACATAAACATGTAAACTATTTGTAACAGTGGATTACCCAGGGAGTGAAGGGGATATTCACTAGATATTTCAGGGACAATCCAGTACCCCATCAGCTCGAGGGAATCAATGGTCAATTTACATGGTGTCAAGCAAGACATCCAGGCCATGGCTCTCACGGAATTTACATTCCAGTGAAGGGAAGAGAATAAACAACTAATCCAAAATAATTGATACGATTCCAAATTGTAGTAGGTGCTATGAAAAAGGTAAAGCAGAAAGAATGGTGTCATCCCACCCTTGGTGACGGTCTAACAGCAGAATAGAGTGCACACTGCACACAGCCCAAGCTACACTGAATTTTCAGCAGATACGTTATCAGAATTTAGCACACTATGGTACTAAAGCCAAATCACTTTATGCCTGCTTTTGTTTTCTTTTTTGCAACTTATAAATATGGGAAGGTTATTTTTAAACCAACTCCACATAGAGCTATAACAAAAAACTAACCCAAACTGTGTCTGTTTTAGTACACAAAACCCTAGGATACCTGCAGTACACATTCTAAGACAGGTGGGCATTAATGTAAATGGTGAACTTGGTTTACAGGTGATTGGATCAACTCTGTTCCTCCTACCTCATCAGCTGGATATTCTTTATTGTTTCTTCTCAACTCAGATAATGCAAGCATACCTCAAAGATAGACTAGTTCGGTTACATAGTGGAGCATCAGACAAAGCTAAATCATGAACCCTTGAGGCAAAGGTATTTTTAACAATCTAGAGGCATCAACTTTTTGTTCCTAAGCCTTACAGATTTTAAGGCATATATGTTTACTTCATTTTATTCTAAAATATACTATCTATTTTATTTAAACTAGGGGAATTCTATATAAAGACATCCTGCTGTGAATTATTTTAAAAAGAACACTCCTACACACACATCACACCTACCACTACCACCACAAACAACACACCACCAAATTAGCCAAATTAACACTGAACCTAGTTAAAAATCTGTCCCTTAGAAGCTCTGTGGCCTTCACTACCACCAAATTAATGCTGAACCTAATTAAAAATCTATCCCTTACAAGCTCTGCGGCCTTCACGAGTCCCTTTGAGTTTCAGTCACCTCCTCATCAGCAAACTAAGTATAATAACACATCCTGTCCAGGTTGTTGTAAAATTTAAGTTAAACGGTTTAGGTAAGCAAAGCTGTCAGTGTAGTGCCTAACTTGATAGACATTACTTCTTATCCATCTATCTATCTATCTATCTATCTATCTATCTATCATCTATTTTTCATTGGAAAGTAAAAACTGTCTATATATGGTATGCAACATGATGTTTTAATATATATACACAATGTGGAAGGGCTAAAACAAGCTAACATATACATTACCTCACATACTTATTTCTTTCATGGTGAGAACACTTAAAATCTACTCTTTTTTTTTTTTTTTTTTTGAGACAGAGTCTCACTGTGTCACTCAGGCTGGAGTGCAGTGGCGCGATCTTGGCTCATTGCAAGCTCCGCCTCCTGGGTTCACGCCATTCTCCTACCTCAGCCTCCCAAGTAGCTGGGACTACAGGGGCCCACCACCACGCCCAGCTAATTTTTTGTATTTTTTTTAATAGAGACGGGGTTTCACCATGTTAGCCAGGATGGTCTCGATCTCCTGACCTCATGATCGCCTGCCTCAGCCTCCCAAAGTGCTGGGAAATCTACTCTTTTAGCAAGTTTCAAGTACAAGACATATTGTTTTTAACTGTAGTCACCATGGTGAATAATAGATTGCTTAAATTTATTCCTCCTGTCTAGCTGAAAGTTTGCATCCTTTGACCAACATTTCTTCAACCCCTCCATAGCCTAGCCTCTGGTGACCATCATTCTATTCTCTCTTTCCATGAGTTCGACTTTTATACACCTCACATATAAGTGAGGTCATATGGTATTTGTCTTTCTGTGTCTGGCTTATTTCACTTACATAATGTCCCCCAGGTTCATCCATGCTGCTGCAAATGACAAGATTTTCTACTTTTTAATGGCTGAAATAGTATTTCTTCCTTTCTTTCTTTCTTTCTTTTTTTTTTTTTTTTTTTTTTGAGACAGAGTCTCACTCTGTCATCCAGGCTGGAGTGCAGTGGTGTGATCACAGCTCACTGCAATCTCCGCCTCCCGGGTTCAAGTGATTCTCCTGCCTCAGCCTCCTGAGTAGCTGGGGTTACAGGTGCCTGCCACCACACCCGGCTAATTTTTGTATTTTTAGTAGAGACGGAGTTTCACCATGTTTGTCAGGCTGGTTTCAAATTCCTGACCTCGTGATCTGCCCGCCTTGGCCTCCCAAAGTGCTGGGATTACAAGCTTGAGCCACCATGCCCAGCTGGCTGAATAGTATTTCGTTGTGTGTTTATACCACATTTCTTTATCCATTCATCTGCTGATGGGCACTTAAGTTGATTCCATGTCTTGGCTGTTGTGAATAGCGCTGCAATTAACATGAGAGTGCGGATATCTTCTCGACATACCAATTTCATTTCCTTTAAATACCTAATGGTGATATTGCTGGAGTATATGGTAGTTCTTTTTAAATTTTTGAGTAACGGCCACACTGTTTTCCATGATGGCTGTAATAATTTACATTCCCAACAGTGTAGAAGGGCTCCCTTTTCTTCACATCCTTGCCGACACTTATCTTTCATGTTTTTGTTAATAACCATTTTAACAAGTTTGCAGTGATGTCTCATTGTGGTTTTAATTTGCATTTCCCTGATGATTCGTGATATCACTGAGCAGTTTTTCATGTATTTCTTGGCTATTGGTATGTCTTCTTTTAAGGAATGATAGACATTACCTCTTGTCTTCCCCCTCTGGCTCCACTTCAGACAGCCAAGACCGTCAAATATTACCTTTGTCTCAAGCAAGATACGTTTGGAACCCACTAACTTTTTCTTTCAGATTTTAGATTACCTCTAACTGCTGTTTTGTAATGTAGTTGGGCATGATGCCTATTCTCTAGCCTAGCATAATAAACTACATAAAGAAAAGAAATGACATAGCTAAAATCATTCAATCATTTATATTTTATAAGCTTTGGGTCACCCCTTTCTCAATGTAACCATGAACTGTTTTCAAAGGTTATTTAATCACTTGGTGAAAAGCAAAACCTTCTATTGCAGAATACAAATAGAAAGGGTCTCAAAAGGATAAAACAGTTTTTTGTTTTGTTTTGCTTTTCTTTCTTTCTTTATGTATTTCAGCCCAGAGTGTGTAGGTGGGTTTGGACTTGGTATTCTTAATGCGTGGCTCATAGTTATTTCATCAGGCTGCTCTGAGGTTGTCCTGTAATACATTACCCATAAAGATACATTTTGACTTGGTTTTTAAATTAGGTTAGATAGAGACTGAATACTTAAGTCACCAGGGAACATGACATCTGTCATACATTTCTCCTCTTTACCTTGATCCCATAACAGCTGTTACAGGTCTCATGTACAATAAATGTAATGTGGCCGCAGCCTGTCATTACCTCTTTCCAGATAGTGATTGTAAAATGCCTGGGTATCCCTTCAACTTTATGGGTATGAAGGGTAACTGAGCCAATGTAGCCAGGCCAATGAAATTTTAACACTCATTTCCCCAAAGGCAAAAGGCCAACAACAGGCTAGAGTTAAGGTGCTTTGCTTCATGAAGTAGAGGCCGGTTTGAAACATGAAATTTCAGATGAAAAATGAAAGCCAAAGTGGGTCAGAGTTCTTAATTCAACTTCAAGCTAGGTGGAGAAATACATTGACAACAGAGAGCCTTACAGATCAGGGTAAGACGGCTGCATACACTGAGACTGAGACAAATATATGACCATGGCAAAAAATAGAAATTTGCATGTCGAAGGCCACCACCCATGCAGCCATCCATTGTTCTCCATGGTTATCTACAATTACAGAGGAAAAGAAATCGATGCTAAACCATGTTGGAATTGAGTTAGGCTCAATTTTTATCTCTTTGGTAACTCTGAATTTTCTCTCTTCAGCCCATCTTAAATTATTTACTTTCTCTTTCACAATGTGAGCCATGAATATTTTGTTTCTTCATTTTGTTAATTTGCCAATTTTCCTTTGAGCTAAATGCCCTAGCAATTTTAATTTTTCATTCGGGTTGGAAAGAGCAATGACCCTTTTTTTTCCATTATTACTATCACAGGCCTGGGCCCAGAATACTACTTTTTATGACCAGCAGTGTTGAGCCTATAATGGAATTGCAAAGTAGAGAGTATAATATACTGATATTGACTTGTGTTAAACCCAGTGGTGTGATCACTGATAATATTTATATGTTTATGTGTATACATCCTTGCTTTTGTTGGCTTGCAACTAAGCACCAGAGAGAAGAACTAGAACCATAATATGGATAGATTGTGAACATGAGAATGTAAAAAAATGAGAGAGAGTGCTATGTGAATAGGGCAAGTGATATAAAATGATGGCGATAGATGCAAGTATGATAACTAAAAAGTTAAGTATAGATTAAATTTAGATCAAGCACATTTAGGATTGTTTGGTTGGCATTTATTTCTTAGCTAAAAGAGGACCCAGAGACAGATGGGCTACTCATCTGATGGGCTGAGTACAAAGACAGATGAGCTGCCGTGGCACCCAGCACACAGAGTTCGCTTAATATCTGAGTTTAATAATATTTTCCAGCTGTCAAGCATATCTGCAAATGTTTGTTTATCCTTCTGTTTTTTGAGCACATGTTCATGGAGGGGCAAGGGCATGGATGGGGTTAATTGGTATGAAAATGTACAGGAACCTTGTTTTCAAAATCATTTAAAAATCTGATTGCTGCTGCCATGCCTTCCCCTCCTACCCTATGTAATCTTGATTGCTGTGCAACTCTGTTTACGGCTGTCCAAAGCGGTAAAATGATTTTGTCATACTTATCACAATAAAAAATGACCACATAGAGTGTCAACCAAAAGGCTTATTTATTTGATTCAAACTCTCTTCTCCTAATATGCGTGCACAGCTCCCATTAACGTTAATGTGAATTACAAAGAACACTGAAGAAGGATAGACCCCTTTATCTCATTACTTTTCTTGGATAATGAGGTTTAGATTTGTTAACAGATCAGAACAGAAGTCCAGTGGATAAAATATTGGCTTAACTTTTAAAGAAATGGATATGCTAAAAGGAACTTTCATAGGCACTAAGGTAGAAGATACACTTTAATAAATAAACTTCATTAGCATTTGAGGTTAAATATGCTTATTTAAGATGCTGGATTAATAAAATGCAAAATATTTCCTAATGGACCTATTTGCATACTCATATTAAATAACTAATAAAATATATTAATGATAGTTTTATTCATATACATGTAAACATTCCTGAGTTCCTGGTGGGACTGTATTTGCCTAATTTACATTGTTCCGTGTCCAGGTCAATGTCATGTCCTTGTGGGATGTTTACTTAATACTATTAGATAATGACATGTATAGATTTAATAATTTGCTTGGGGGGCAAATGGAATCCGTTCTTTGTTTAGTACCTTTTATCTGAGAACTTCAATGTAATTTACTAACATCCATCTTCAAGATGCATGAGAGATGAATGTGGCAAATAGCTTTGCTTTGCGTATAATAAAGAATGAGACACTGAGAAGTGAAGCAGCCTCCCGAGAGCCTGTGAACTGATAGTGATACAAAAACCCCTTTTGACTTTTGTTCCTATGGTGTCAGCATCTAAAAATGCATGGACACCAACCACGCTTCAGTGTATACTTTCTTACACTCTGTAGCACCCATACTTATTTTTGCCATCCGTTGGATTTTCCTGACAAGGCAACATCAAACCAGCAATTTAGTAACATGAGATGGTTCCTAATGAAGCAAGGAGACCTGAATCTTTGAAATAATAACTGTAACTGTTTTCCTCACAGAATAGAAAAGAGGTTTCCCAGAACAATTAAAAGCAGATAAGAGATACATACATTGAAAAATAGATAGGAGATATACAAATATTTCATTGCACATTGAGGACTATTATCTCAATCCTGCTAAATAATATCCACCAGGATTTTGGAGACAGTCCAATTTTGCTTCTCCAGCTAACTGCTGATCATTTCTGCACAGTGGCCCTGCCACAACCTCAGCTTCAACATGTCTAAAATCTAATTCAGAATCTACCCATCTAAGTCACCAGCTCATCCTGACTCTCCCAATTCTGTTTGAGGCACTGCCAGGAATCCCGTGATGTCCGGGATGCCTCCCCCTTCCCATCTCCACCCTTCCGTCAGTCAACAATCTTGATATTCACAAAATACTGTCTCTTATATCTGGCCCTTCTTTTCCACTTCCACTGCCACCACTCTAATTCAATTTGTCATTGATAACTGGATTGTTGCAATAACTTACTAACTGATTTGCCTGCTTTATTCATTTCTTCATTCCTGTTCATTCTAGGCATAGCTACCAATCATTCGTTTGTTCAGTTATTAGATATTTAATGAATGCTTTCCACACAAAAATGCAATGTAACGTAGTAGCAAAGAGAGCAGCTCTGGAACTATTCTACTTAGGCTCAAATCCAGCTCTACTTCCTTCTAGCTGTTAGTCTTTCATCTTACCCACTCTGTGCCTCAGTTTCCTCTCTTGTGAAATTGAAATAATAGCATCTACCTAATAGAGTGGCCCCGAGACTAAACGAGATAATAGATGATAAATGTCTGGCACATAGCAAGTTCTTAAAACATAATCCATTCATAGTATTCTGCCTTGGGAGCCGAGATGTTTCCCAGTTACCTAGTGGTTCTCAAAGTCTGTCTGTACCCTAGGATCATCTACAGAGCTTGTTATAGATTCCTGGGTTTCATTATCAGAGACTCTAATTCATTAGGTTTGATATGAGGCCTGGGAATCGCTGATGATTGTAATGCAGCCAGTCCCAGGGACCTCTAGAAAAATCATACTATTTAGTTTGGCATTCAATGCCCTCTATATTCTCGTCCCAGTTTGTTTGTTTGTTTGTTTGTTTGTTTTAGCGTTTCTCTCTCCAACTTTCCACTCTAACCAGATTATTCACTCTTACTCTCTTCACTGTTACCCAAAACAAGCTTTGTGAAGCCTTAAGATAATACCATCACTTAGAATGACCGTCTTCCCCTGAGGCCTGCCAGGCTTCTGAAAGCCACCTCAAGCCCCATCTCCTTTATGAATTCTTTGATTTGCATTTCTCTCCTTCCCATCAAATTTTTTCTTACAGTCTGAGTTTTTCCATTGAGTACTTCCTGTAGGCCTGCTTGGTTTTTAGTTTTGAGTTTACACATCTGTCTCGTGCCCTTAATGAAATTGTAAATTCCTCTAAGCAGAGGGACTTCCTCTGCAATGTTTTTCTCTGTTTTGGCCCCTAATAATCTTTTGCTGAATGACTGACTGGTTTATATGGTGTGCTAATTGGAGTAGATTTATTTGGATATTAATGTGTTGTGCCCCTTTAGTCATTCTTGGTAATAGTATTGAAAATAATGAAAACAGTGGAAGTGGTTCAAAAATAAGAAAGAGGGTGAGCTGCATTGGGAGTTAATTATTTTTTTTTAATTTCTGCTTGAAGAAAAGGTTGAAGGATGAGTTAACTGGCAATAGTAACTAGCTGTTCTCCATTTCCACTGAGGACAGTGCTAGAGAAAATGGGCCAAAATCACTAACGGGAAGAAATGAGGTTAGATATAAAAAAGAAGACAGTTCTTAAGCACTGGAATGAGGTTTCTGAACAGGTTGTAGAATTGACCTCCCTGAAGTACTTTAAAAATAGGAAGGATAAATATCCATCTAAAATGATATGAAAAAGATTTGCCAATCAGCTCATTATTTGAATATCTATTAAGCACTACTCTCTGGGAAAACCCAGAAAAAAATGTACAACATGATCCTTTTACTTAAACTCCGTATCTAATTAAGATGACCCATAAATATGAAATCATTAGCAGTGAAAATAGGATTTAAAAGTAAGAGCTAAACTGTTAGGTTATCACCATAATTGGAGTTTAAATTCGGATATGTGCCCTTCTCTACCTCTCTACTCCTGAAAAACCTACTCCAGGCCTTTTTTTCAATGAGTGAATTTTCAGTGTCCTCTTTCCAACAGCATTTCTAGGTAAAATGGAGAAATCTCTGATCTTTTCTGAAATAAGTTATTCAATACTATTGAGCAAACAACTGCTAAGTACACAGCAAGCATGTTGTGATAAATATGAAACTAATCTTTTATTTTTTTCTAACATCGTCTTTTATTCATCCAACAAATATTGATTACCTAATAAGTATAGTCTTAGTACTTGGTTGGGAGATACCACAGTGAACAAGACAGATGTCTTTTCATTATACTCAAAATCTAGTGCCCACAACCTTTCCTCAAAGTGTGGTAGGGCATATAAGTTGTAATATTAAAATGCCATAAAATTGACTAAACCCCTTTAGATAACCAGAGCATCCTTGAATTACATAAATGATGGTTAAACCACTTGCAGTGTACTCAGTAAAGATACTGAATAGTAAGATGTCTGGATTTCCAACCTTAATTCTGTAACTGCCTTCTTGAATGAAAGTTTTTCTTCATCTGGAAGATGCATACTTCTTACCTACCTGCAATATGTGTATAAATTATCATCATGGTCATCATGTATTTGGTCACTGATTGAAACTGATTACAGGGTAGATATGTCTATGGGCTAAAATAGAATGGGATTGGTTAGCTGGAAAGTCAGTTTCACAAAGTGAAATGGCACTGAATTCAGGAAAATAGACCAAGACTATTAACTTGTCAAAATGGAAAATATAGCCTTTAAATATAGTCATACACATGGTGCCCTTTGGTTTGAATTAGGGTAACCAACTCATCCCACTTTGAACACTGAAAATCTCTTCCCCAGGAAACTCCTCAGTTTAAGGAAAGTGGGCCAGTCGATCACCCTATTCTGCATACCCAATTTTATCTGATCCTTCCTCTCTCTTCTTCCTTCCCTCACCATTCTTTGTTTACATGCCAGTGTATATAGTCATAAAAATTCTCTGAAAAATAAAATGAAAGTTAAAAGTAAATATTTTTAATGCTACAAATTTAAAAACCATATACAACAAATTTAAAATGTATATGAAAGAGTGGACAGTATAAAAGGAAGCTTGAGTGAACTTTTCTGTTATCTGAGTTTTTTTGTGCTTTCTTTAACTTGAGCTGCTGTCTGTTCTCCTAAGGCTTTCTTGGTATTAGAAAAAGCCACATAGCTCTGGAAATTAAAGTAGAAATGTCTCAGCAGAGAATAACTAAAAGCAGCATCCCACTTGCCAACAAAAGAATTCTTAAAAATATTATATAATTCAAAACTCAAAAAAGAAAGAGCTGGAGGGAACATCGACCAGAAATAATGGTTGCAACTTTGATTGCAGACAAACCCACCAGCGAACAGTAAAAACCCTAATTCTAGGGCTTTTGGTATGAGGTTCCTCCCATTGATAGGTTTCTTCTCCCCCAGGGACTGTAATTTTCCACTTTAAATTTGAACTCTAGTCAATGTATAGTAAAAAATCAATATCATAGATTTGTTCTGCTTTCTTTATGCCTCCTGGAATTTTCAAAGTATGGGAATGAACAGCTTTTATGAAAAAGATGGACTATAAAATGAAAGATGGAGGACTTTGACCAATTTCCTAGACCTTTGACCCAGAAACACTATACCAGACCAGGATGTCATTGTCCCCTCCCTAGCTCTGTCATGTCTTTGTTATTCCCATACTATGAGGGCATTAAATGTCGAGTGATATGACGACTATCGCACTTTTGGAAAGGATCTTTGACAGGTTAACTAGAACTTGCTACCAGAATATTTGTCCTGTGTATCCTACCTTTTCATTTTAATTTTACTTTGCTATTTTCAATACAGCTTCTTTCCCTATATTGTGATGGGGAGAGGGAGAAACTCACAGAAAACTAAAGGGTAATCCCTTTAGCATTTAACATTTATACAAACAATAGTTCTTGCATTGTTAAAAACGAGCAAAGGTGCCAAAGAATTATTCCAACAAATGCAGACATGGGGACATGGTAAGTAATTCTCATCCCCTGGGCTGATCAAACTCCCTTTCCTGAGAGTTGCAATCCTTTGATCAGCCTTCTAACTCCACCTCACCCAGCATCTTAGTGTCAACAACAAGCTCAGGCCACACTTTATGGAGAAGTCATGGCCAGGCCTGATTCCTCTAGACTGGCATTAGAGCTAGTCTGGATCATCTTGGTATTTTCCACCATTTTTGTCATCACTTGAAAGACAAGAACCACATCTTACCATTTTTGTGTTCTCCTCAGTACCTCCGCCTTTGCCACATTTTCCCTTCCTCTCATATCCTCTCACATATATGGCCTCATTTTCAGGTTCCTCCTGGTCCTCTGTGAACTAAACACAGAGACAGATTGATTTTCAATAGCCTCTCCCGTGACCTTGGCCAGCTTGGTATAAATGCTTTCTACATCTGGCATCTGGTCACCCAGCTACAGAATTCAATAAACCAGTAGAGCACTGAGCAACCATGCCTCTTAAACAAAGCACTACCTCCCTAGCATGTCGGCTTCTACTCTGGAATCCGCTCCCGTAGCATTGCCTAGAATCCTCAGTCCTGCATGAGCCCCACTCTGAAGTCCATGTTCTTAGACTAGAGCACTGGCATAGTAGAGCTTGCTTATTTCTGATGGGCCATCTCTAGAACACTTGATTCTGTCTTTCAACCCTATACATCCACAGTTGTAGGACCTTTTTCTTTGAACCTTGTGTATCTTATCTGACTTTAAAGTATTTATCTGTCATTTGCCTTCCTTACTGCTATGGTCTGTGTAGCTGGCAGAGTATACCTGGATGGACTGCTTCTAGACTACCTGGCTGACCTCTCTAAGTCAGCCTCTGTGCTTTTGTGTGATTTTCCTCGCCATTTTTCATCCTGGTTAGTGGGACTCTATCTAATTCCCTTCCCCAGTGATTCTACAATGTTGGGCACCAAATTTGCTGCTGTTCTTGCCTTGCTCATAGTGTACATTCAACAATGGATTGCTGAGCTAATTCTTGATTGTGAGAAATCCATTCTGGAAATAGTAACTAACAATCAGTTTTTACTTACAGCTGCTTCCATAGGCTCATGTGACATTCAAATGACAATTAATGTTTTTTCTCCTGTAGTTTTTTTTCTTTTTTGCCCAAAATATTTATTTTGAAAAACTCGGCCGGGTGTGGTGGCTCACGCCTGTAATCCCAGCACTTTGAGAGGCCAAGGCGGGCAGATCATTTGAGGTCAGGAGTTCAAGACCAGCCTGGCCAATATGGTGAAACTAAAAATATAAAAATTACCCAAATGTGGTGGCATGCCTGTAATCCCAGCTACTTGGGAGGCTGAGGCAGGAGAATTGCTTGAACCCGGGAGATAGAGGTTACCATGAGCTGAGATCACGCCGCTGCACTCCAGCCTGGGCGACAGAGTGAGACTCCATCAGAAAGAAAGAAAGAGAGAGAGAGAGAGAGGAAGGGAAGGGAGGGAAGGGTGGGGGGGAGGAAGGAAGGAAGGAAGGAATGAAGGAAGGAAGGAAGGAAAGAAGGAAGGAAGGGAGACTCAAATATTAATTCTAAAAGAGAGGAACAAGTCCTTGAACACTACCTTGATCACTGGAATCTCTGCTGGAAGGAACCCTCTTAATTTTGGAAATAATATGTGTTAGAATGTACTAGTGAGCTCTGCTCTTCAGTTTTGCATTTTAAGTGTTAAACTCTAAATCTAACTGTCTATCATGTTTTATTCCATAAGAGACGTATCAGCACATAGGGAAATAGTGGTAGGTTATAGGATGTAATAGAAATTCTAATAGACTGTTTAACAATAATATGGCAGGCAGATGCCATTTTAATCAGCATTGTCATTAACAACTATCAATAGAGAGGATAAGATGTTCTTCTCTTTGTGAATTATGATTTATGGCTGGCACAGCAGTCACGCTGAAGTATATTTATTTTACAATATAGAGACATTGATTAAATGCACATGGCATCTCAAATCCAGTTGACATTTTAAGTCAAAATTATTACAGACACACAGCCATTCATTTAAGCTGTTGCTTTAAAAATGTGTCTCAACTGATTGTTAATGGAAGAAAGTCTAGCTGGGCCAATATTTCAATAACTTGTTCCTTTATTTTGCTGATATACATACACTGGGGGAAAGCTGCCTCTTTTGGCCATACCATTTCTGGTGTATAGGCACTAAAGAGAAGAATACTCTCTTAAATACATACACTCAGGGTTTCTAGACCACTCAGAAAGCATTCTCTTACTAGTGTAAAATTATTTTTTGTTCCCTTTCCATAGTTCTCCCTACCTTCTCTGAAAATCTTGCTTTCTAGCCTAACAATCTGCTTAGGAAGTAGGTCTTAAATAATTGATGATAACTGTAGCTAAAACATTAATATAGTTTAGAGATGATAGTTTTTGTAATATATGTTGCCAATAGACCAGCCACATTAAACAATAAAAGTGTTTGAGTATTGATTGTTGATTTACAAGATTGAAGGAAATAGTAATTGTGTCTGAGAGTATATTCTTTGATTCATTTTCTTATTTATGTCTTTTTAACCTCAAAACTTAGATTTTTTTAAAGTTTGTATTATGAAATAATTTTAGACTTACAGTAAAAGCTACAAAAAATAGCACAAAGAATTTCCTTATACCTTCCGCCCAGATTCCTCAGATAGTAACATTTTTTCTGAATTAGCTGTAGCATTCTCTCTCTCTTTCTCTCTCTTCCTCTCTCTCTTTCCCTCTCTCTCTCTCTCCCCCCGCCCATATGAATGTATATGCACAAATGCAGGCATGCATGCATTTTTCTCTTAATAACTTAACAGTGGTTGCAAACTTGATGTCTTTTTATCCTTAAGTGTACTTTGAAGCTAGGACTATCACTGTATCATTTTATTATACTTTTGAGATAAGTCAAGAGTTGGCCTCAAGTAAACCTCAAAATAGCAAAATCAGAAATTACAAACAAGGAAGGTGGTAATTTCAAATATGATTACAAGTCAAGAAAACCATTTTTGTGGGGTTTATCACTATCTAATCTAAAAACATAAATTAAGTCAGTGTTGACTCCTGGTAAATGAGTACAGATTTCCAAGAGCGAGGTGTACTTCTTTGACAATTAATGAAACTTCAGAAGTAAACCTCTGTAAATAGGTGCAAATATCCTTGTGATAAAGCGTCGGTAACCATTAAATTTGGTGCAGAGTGCTTGAATGAAATGGTGAACAGGAAAATATCCTGCTTGTTATTGTTAAAATTGTGCTGCAGAAGGATCCTTAGAAATTGAATACCATCTCTTTCTCAGACTTGTTATATTTTCCATTTTACTGCAAATGATTTATTGATAAGACTGGAGGGAAGGCTGGAGAAGCCATACCAGTCTTTGATCACCTTAGGACTTTTTCTTTTCAACACCTATTCATTTGAAAACATATTTTGAAAACATAAATGCACAAAGATAAATGTATTATGAAAGTTATAGTGGATTCATCCAAGAAATTTATACTTTGCCTAGTCAGGAAGAGTGGTCTGGAGAAACAGAGCATACTCTGCCAGTCTTTTTATTTACATCTGTTAGGTAGTTGGGGTGTATTATGTTGGAGTGACCACTCCAGGTCAAAGTCTTGTGTCTTGGGAAAGAAGATGAAGCACAGTAATACAGGTTAGGTGTAGCTGGTGGAGGGTGTTGGGATGCATATCTGTTGAGGACCAGCACTTTATTAAGTCCCCAATTCCCTGAACATTCACGCCAGCTCTTACAAAAAACAAAGCAGTAGTATCCATGTGTGTTCCTCATCGCTGGCCTGTCCCAAAATTTTATCAATGTGATGATAACAACACTCGTGCACATGACCACATATTGCTGAATTTGTCCATATAGCTAACTGGAGATAGTTTGATTCTGGGTGAAACAAACAAACAAAAATATGAAGGAGTAGTAACGTTCTACAGAATCCTTTTCTTCCTTCTCTGTGATGAGATTTAATTAGATAGAGCTGCTGAAATCTGTTCTGTGCTTGTGAGTTAAATATGTCTTTGAATGTCTGTGCCCCAAATATCTCCCATGTAAAATATAATACAACTTTATGAAGCACTTTGAAACTTTCAGCCAAAAGAAGGAACGTGTGTTGTTATATCATTATTAACACCTCTTTTTTTTTTTTTTTTTTTTTTTTTTTTTTTTTTTTTTTTTTGATGGAGTCTTGCTCTGTTGCCAGGCTGGAGTGCAGAGGCATGATCTCAGCTCACTGCAGTTTCCGCCTCCTGGGTTCAAGTGATTCCCCTGCCTCAGCCTCCCAAGTAGCTGGGACTACAGGCGCCCACCACCAAGCCCGGCTAATTTTTTGTGTTTTAGTAGAGGGAGGGGTTCATCTTGTTGGCCAGGATGGTCTCAATCTCCTGACCTCATGATCTGCCCGCCTCAGCCTCCCAAAGTGCTGGGATTACAGGCGTGAGCCACCGTGCCTGGCCTAACACCCCCTTTTAACATTGTTAAAATTAAACAGGTAGATAGCACTGTAAGTGTTTTAAGAATGTGGATATGTCATCACTTTTACAGCTTAACTGTATGCTATCAGGGTTAATGGTAAAGACAATGTCTAGAAAACAAACCTTATGTTTCCATGTTCTTGGAGAATCCACGTGCAGTTACACAGTATTCATGAAGCACATGTAGAGCTCAACTTCTAAGGTACAGTCCTGAGATTACCTAAAAATTATGTACAGAATTTTAATTATGAGTATGTGTATTTTTGTGGAGAAAGAATCCATAATGTTTTTCTAATACGCAAAGGGGACTATGAAAAGAAGCTAAGGACCATTAGATAATGTAATCTAGCCTCTGTAGACTATTGATGTTCCCTACCTGACAAGTGGCTGATGTTCTTATTCAGCCCTCTGATTCTTTCCACTAATGTAGTCAACATTTAGCCCTGAAGGATACAAATCTCTGTCATGGGAGTAAAAATGTAACCCTCTGTGGAAGGAATAATGAGACATAAGAGTGTCTATCTCAACACCTTTCATGTCTCAGGGACATCTTCGGGATAAATCCTGGTTTGGAGATAAGTGCAGTGTTATGTCTACTGCAGAAGGGTGTTTATTAAAGATTGTCTTCTTTCTAGTACTCTCTAGCTAGATCCCATCAAGTGTAAACCAAATATAGCCCTCCCCAACATAAGAATTATGTTTGTTTTTGGTGAAGACTTTTAATGTTTGTATTTACCCATGCTTTTCCAGGATATCGTCAATGCTGAGGTCTTCTCTCTGCTGTCACAACTCAGACCAAGGAAATTTTAAGTATGTTTAGATACTTTCTTGAGTTTCATACCCCAAGACTGTATTACACACCTTCTTTTGTCAGGGGCTTTACAGTGTCTAACATAGCTAGGCTGTAATATCATACCTGGCCATTAGGTGTTGCTACGTCACACACTATGCTGCAAACTGAAAAATGATTTAGTTTAGAATTTAAGAATCTGTAAAATAAATTCTTCTATTACTTTTTTAAATTTATACATTTAACATCTTTAATATAAGTGTACTTGAAGTAAGAAGTGGGTATGCTAAAATAAATAAAATATATAGATAAAGGTTACCCATATAATTTCAGTGTGATTGACAATTTATGCTTAGCCTAGTAGAACAACACTCATTTTTATTAAAATAAAAGATTAATACTTCTTTAAAAACAAGGATGTCCTATTTGATGCAAATTACTGTTCAAGAAAGTAACTGAAATTTCCTTTCTTGAAAGGGCAGGCCATTAGAGATATAAATAGAGTTGCAGGTTAATATATCAACTTTCTCTTTAAAATTAGTAATGTTTAAAAATAAATTGTTTCATTTCCACCTAGATCACTTCCTCCTTCTTGACACTATTCCAGCTGTCATATTCTGTGATATTGTTCTCTCAGGGCATTCCTGTTAGCTTTCTGGCAGCTACTCCTAGCTATTCATCTTATTAAAAGTTGTCATTCCCTATACCTCTATACCCAGTCCTCCTCTCTTCTAACCCTCCTCTCTCTTTCTCTGGGAGAGAAAGAGAGTCTGTAAACCAGACTCCACCCAGACTCTGGACTCATAATACATGATGCTTACTAAACGGTTTTCCCAGATGGTCCGTAGGTACCCCAAAATCAACCTGTATATTATAGAATTAACTTTGCTTGTTTATCCTTACCAAGGCTATCCAATAAATCAAGAGGATGCTGTGTCCTTTTCTCTCACCTGTGAAGACCAATCCATCAATTCGTTACCAAGTTCCACAAATTCTACTCTCTAAGAATCTAAATTCTCTCTCCATCTTCACTGCACTTCCTTAGTTCAAATTCTCCTAATTTCTCCCCAAATTAAAGCAATGACCTTCTGAATAGTCTTGATATTCTCTCCCAGCCCACTTACTACAGTACTGCCCATCTGATCTTCACAAACATATATTTGATCTTCTACCAAAATTTTTGCTGTGGTTTCACAGTTTCTTGAAGAGCTTAGATTTCTGAGGTGTTATACAATGTTCAACCTTTATACTTTTATGCTGCCATAGATAAGTACATAAAATTATCATAATGTGCCATGACAGCATTAAGGTAGTCAATGCCTTGGGCTTTTCATATTCCCTGTGACTACAATGCCCTTTCCCCATCCTTCAATCCACACTAACCCCGTGGTCAACTCTTAGTGATGCTTAAATGCTGGGTTCAAGGGTTCTTTGGAAGCCTTGCTGACAACAATTCTCTCCACACTCAGTACTGATAAAGATAGTTTACTAATATCATCTCATTGTTTATTAGTAGTAGTAGTAGTAGTAGTCTCAGAGTCTTCCTCTATTGCCCAGGCTGGAGTGCAGTGGCGTGATCATAACTCACTGTAGCCTCAGACCCCAGGGCTAAGTGATCCTCCCACCTCAGCCTCCCAAATAGCTGGGATTGCAAGTATGAGCCACCGTACCCAGCTTCATCCTATTATTTTGAGTAATTAGACATCCTATCTAGTAATAAGATAAGTAATTTTACTGGTGTCACTTTGGAGGTAACTGGCTTCAGATAAGGTTATTGAATTTCATAGTCCATTATTTCAATTTACCTACAATTATCAGGGCAAATATATAGAAGGAACAAAATTGAAAAACAAATAAAAATAAATAAAACAATTGTGAGAGCAAATAAACACAAAAACATCCTATCATCGTAGACTTCATTGCCTGTGTATCTTAATGTGAATATCATGTACTGTTTTATCAAGCTTTAAATCTGAGGAAATGGAATCTGTGAAAACTGCCTAATTTGTTAATTTGCATGTGAAGTATACTGTTACCAGGGAAGGGTGAAAAACGGATTTGGCGCATGTAGTTTACTAACTCTGAGAGGATAACTGGTGTTAGTTTCTGCTGCTGTAACAAAATTGATTTGGCCTTTATTATACCTCCTATTAGAAAATTACTGTGAAAAACCGCATACTGAAAATGTGAGAGCGCTTTGTAATGAAGAATACATTTTATGTAGCAAAGCAGGAAGCAGTGACACCAAGTCTTAATGACACTTTATATTCTGCCAGTGTACTTAGACACAACTTTCTCAACTGCATAATCTAAAGTAAACAAAAATCTTATTCCATTAGGGACACAATTTGACAATTGAATTTTTTGGTGAACTTTTGGCATCCATTGAAAGAATTGGCTGCAACCCCAGAGATGGGGTTAATCTTTTTAGGGCATCATTGCCTGGAAAGTGGAGGAGATGACCAAGTCAGGCTCTAGGAGTAAAAGCATTATCTCTATGAGCTAGAACGAAGGAGTTATTCAACAGTTATCATCTCTATGACCACTTTTTATTCAATTGCAAGAGCACAGAAAGGATATTATTTTACTCAAGAAAATTGGGGAAAAAATTTACAATCTTAGTATGCTGAGGCTTGATATAATTAAATGATTAAAAGGTAATTAAATAATTACCTTTGTATTTTAATAATTCCCTATAGTCTTAGGTCAAATCTATGTGGAAGAATATCACATATCCTAATGCTGACAGTATTTGCTGTCACATCCACCCAGTTTGGAAAAGGGCTCTTCATTAGGGGAAATAAGTAGTACATTCTTGTACAGTAGTAAATACTTATCATGTAGCAAGACAGAATAAAAATCAATATTAATCAGACTAGACAAATGCTTCTAGTATAACTGAAATTCTCAAGCCCTAAGCCCTAAGTGTTCTCTTCGGTGCTATTTATTACTAAAATATTTGCTACTTCTGACACCAAATAGTTCTGTAATGTAGGGTCTTTAACTTTTGATATCTTAGTCTGATCATCAGAATACCCAGCTCTATCACTGTATGTGTTCTTAGGGAGAATATGAAAATTTTATTTAAAGATCTTCAGCATATACATGACTGCTATTTTCTTACCTTGGCATCCCACAATGAAGCTAATGGAAAGGTTTAGCAATTCTATGCTGTTGCTCATTTCTCCCTGAAACTTTGACTATTCAGCCCACAATATGTCTACCTGTATGCTCCACTGCCCCACCTTTATGAAGATATGGCTGTATATTTCAGCTTTTCATTTTTATCGCTAACGGGGACACACCTGTTCCTAATGCTACCTAAGATTGTGCTGGTCTTTGGTACATTATAGAGGTAGGAATAGTATCTAACTCCCTTATATTATTAGTGTTTACTACTTTATAGGTATTGAAACTGTTCTGAGTTCTGTACATTTGTTAATTCATTTAATCTTCACAATAATCCTATGAAGTAGCCACTGTTATTATACACATTTGACAGATTTAGAAGCTGAAACATAAAAAGATTGCTTGCCCATGGGCAGATAGATTCTAAACGGACAGAACTGGTAGGATTTCACCCCAGCAGTCTGGCGCCATACTCCTCCCTTTTTTTACTCTTTGGCTCTTAGCTAGCTGGGCAAACTTGGGTAACTTTAAGCTACTCAACTGCTCATTTTCCTTTTCAAACAAAGAGAAAGAGAGGAATAAGCTCCACCTCATAGAATTGTGGTGAGAATTAAATAATACAGTGAATGTAAAATACCTCACTGACTGGTACATAGTAAAGTATTCATGTTATTCTTTTTCTTATTACTATCAAGCAATCAATAAAAGTCAGATGAAGGAATTAACTCATGGAGAGGCATAACTCAGAATCACTAAGTTGATCCTTCCAGGGTCCATTTTTATTTTTTCTGTTGAAAAGCTCATTTATAAAGAATGGATTCAGTGGTCTAGCTTGGCCTCTTTCCTGAAAGCATTACGTATAGGGATCAAGCACTCTTATGCTTTCTTCATTAGGCTAAAGAAAAAGCTATTATAACAAAAAGAGATTGCATTTCTATTAAAGCAATTTTACCACCAAATTAGACATTTTAAAGAATATATAGAATGATACATGGAATGCTATCAGTTGTCAAAACCCCCAATATTTCCAAAGCATATATGAAAATAAAAGTCAGAGAGAAACTCATTTTATCATCTTTTAATCCTAATGCCCTGGTTTTCCATTTATTGCATTATGAGATTGACATTATATCATTATCTCTTATTGTCACCTTAGCCTTGTAAGCTTTAGATGTTGCTAATGTTATGGTAATAACTGCTACAATTTGCAATTTTCAGTTGTATTAGACCTTGATTCACTTTTTTAACTACCTCATATAACCATCACTGATTTTTCTTGCAGATAATAACCCCCTTAATGGTTTTTATAAGTAAATATCAGTACAAAATTATCAGAGCAAGAAAATCAATATTAGAAAACTTCTTATATTAAAAATAACAGAAATAGAGTAATATTAAAGTAATTCTAAATATTCAAAAATCAAATGCATGAGTTATTTTGAAACTAGTGTTAGAAATTTCATGATTTGGAACTTGCTAGTTCACTGTTCTTTTTCGATTTTACTACACTTTAAAAACACTGTAACCTATTTTTAAAAAATTAAAAATAATAATACATATGGGATCACCACAGAGCTAGTGTTTTTTAGAATGTTTTCCTGTATTTCACACAAACCATCTCTTTCCTTATAATTAAAAGTTGTATAATATTGTTCTTGAAGGAACCATATCATATGTCTTCTAAAAGGCCAGTATGTTGTGTTTTTATTTCTTTTGGTTAAATGGGCCCTAAAGATTTATCAGATATTAGGAATATGAAGTGGCACAGCAGACGGTGAAATAGTATATCTTTTCTCAAACTTTTTCCTCAATGCATTTCTACTACCAATCAAAATCCTGCAGTCCAACCTCCTGTAGGAAATTAAATCTTTGCTAAATAACCCTATTGGCGAAGCTCTTCTATTTCTCATTCCCCCTGCTCCTTCTCTGGCATGCCATTCATTCATCTGATAAATATTTGTTGAGCACCAAGTATGCACAGGCACGGGGTACAGTGATGAATGAGATGCACTTCTACCCACAGAGAACTTAAAATATAGTAACTTGTCACTGACTACCTTATATCACTAGTTATTTTTCATGTGCTTATGTCTTACAGAGAGCAAAGACTACAATTTAAAATTATTTTACTTTCTGTATACCTTTCATCTAGCAAGTGCTCGAGGCATATTTAGTTAAATGGGTGAAGTAGCTCCTATTCAAGAGAGAACAGTTTTGGGGCAATATTCACCCACTCCTAAGCTAGAATTATCACATATGGTAAGACATTAGCACATGCCATTCGACTAGCTTCTTAGCTCAGACAGTGGATGACTTTCAAATAAGATAAAATATTAGATCACACACCATGAAGAACTCTTGCAAGGTAACTGCAGCCTCAGTGCATCTTTGTCCATCTGGGTTATGACTCTGTGAAAGTAAGTGTAATGACAGAGTTGAACAGACATTCAGATGTTAAGAAGCAACATGCGGTAGGCTAGAGTTTTGAGAAGGAATTAAGGGCCCTCCTCATTGGAGTTTGCATCCTCAGAAGATTGAGGAAATATGTATAAGAAATAATCATGGCCGGGCACAGTGTCTCATATCTGTAATCCTAGCATTGTGGGAGGCAGAGGCAGGTGGATCACCTGAGGTCAGGAGTTCGAGACCAGCCTGACCAATGTGGCAAAACCCCATCTCTACTAAAAATAACACAAAAATTAGCCGGGCGTGTTGGCACATGCCTGTAATCCCAGCTACTCGGGAGGCTGAGGCAAGAGAATCACTTGAACTAGTGGGGCGGAGGTTGCAGTGAGCCAAGATCGCCCCATTGCACTCTAGCCTGGACAACAGAGCAAAACGCCGTCTCAAAATAAATAAATAAATAAATAAATAAATAAATAAATAAATAAAATAAAATAAATCATTAACGTAGGCTGGGCACGGTGGCTCACGACTGTAATCCCAGCACTTTGGGAGGCTGAGGCGGGTGGATCACCTGTGGTCAGGAGTTCGAGACCAGCCTGACCAACATGGAGAAACCCTGTCTCTACTAAAAATACAGAAATTAGCCGGGCATGGTGGCATGTGCCTGTAATCCCAGCTACTCAGGAGGCTGAGGGAGGAGAATCGCTTGAACCTAGAAGGCGGAGGTTGCAGTGAGCGAAGATCACGCCATGGCACTCCAGCCTGGGAGACAGAGCCAGACTCCACCCCAAAAAAAAAATTATTAAAATATAAAAATTTTATGAAAATACTAGAATTAATGGGTGTTGGACTCTTGCTAGCCTTGGCTTGCAACAACAGCCAGCCCTCAGGGCTGTTTGATCCAGTCTCCTTGCTTGGGTTAACCCAGAAGACAGCAGGGCATAGGCTGAGGCAACTATAGACCTGACTCTGTAGCTCCAGGGAAGCCCATCCTGTGTGTTTTCATTGGTTTATTTTCATTTGTTTGCTCAGAGGAAAGTTTCAGAAGGCATTTCTTTTGGGGCTACATTACAGCCCTTTTAGTTGTCATTTAAAAGAGTATGATTTCAATTTATGACAGACAATCAATCAAGATTTTTGTTTTAAAATGAGCCTATGTGACCTACAGAGGAAGTGGTGTTAGAGGTGGGACAGTTCTTAAAACTGGAATTTATAAACATTTCAGCTTTACTCCCAAGACAGTGCGGAGCAAGAAGGGTTAGAGAAAGGAGAGGAAGGAGGTAGGGAAGAGTTGGGTGTTAATTTCTAAACTATAATGTGGTTCCTTAGTCGTTTCTCCTAAAGCAGACATAGTTTTATTGAGGGCCATTCATGGGCAAACCTAGACCAAAGCCAGTGACTTCTCTCAAATGGATGTTTATTTCTTTCTCTCTTCCTCGACGGAAAAGAAAAAGCAGAAAGAACAATGGGGAGGAATAGGCATGCAATGTCTGATATTGCTTTAGTGTTGGCGAAAAAGGCAGCCTCCCTCCACGCCCACCACAAGTACATACACATAAACATATACATGTGACGACATATGCACAAAGACAGGGCAAACACAAGTTTACATACATGCAGGAAAATGGGCACACACATACAAACACACACACAGACATGTGCATACAAACGTTCACAGATTTACGTGCATATAAGCACACATGCACATATATTCCACACACACACACACACACACACACGTACACATACACACACACTCCATAGATGACAGATCAGGTATCAATGATCCTAGTCTCTTAAACCCCTGAGCAGGCAGTAGGAGTTTCCCTTTTCCTAGAAACCTAAGCCAGAAGTTCTCCTCACAGCCTCATCTGGGCTAGGGTGGAGGTGTGATGTTCTCACAGGCCCTTTCCACCCATCTTTTCTGTTCTTAGAAAAGCCTGTGTTGGGCCGGGCGTGGTGGTTCACACCTGTAAGCCCAGCACTTTGAGAGGCCGAGGCGGGTGGATCACCTGAGGTCAGGAGTTCGAGACCAGGCTGGCCAACATGACAAAACCCCATCTCTACTAAAAATACAAAAAATTAGCTGGACGTAGTGGTGGGTGCCTGTAATCCCAGGTACTCAGGAGGCTGAGGCAGGAGAATTGCTTGAACCCAGGCAGCGGAGGTTGCGGTGAGCCAAGAATGAGCCATTCCACTCCAGCCTGGGCGACAGAGTGAGACTCCGTCTCAAAAAAAAAAAAAAAAAAAAAAAGAAGTAGAGCATTTATATTTGGCCAGGCACAGTGGCTCATGCCTGTAATCCCAGCACTTTCAGAAGCTGAGGCGGGCAGATCACAAGGTCAGGAGTTCAAAACCAGTTCGGCCAACTGTGAAACCCCATCTCAACTAAAAATACAAAAAATTAGCCTGGTGTGGTGGTGTGAGCCTGTAATCCCAGCTACTCGGGAAACCGAGGCAGGAGAATCGCGTGAACCCGGGAGGTGGAAGTTACAGTGAGCCGAAATCGTGCCATTGTACTCTAGCCAGGGTGACAGTGCCAGACTCGGTCTCAAAAAAAAGAAAAACAAGAAAAGCCTGTGTTGATATCATTGTAATATAAAAGATAGTATTTTCTGTGGGCCCTCTGTCAGTCTCCAACTTTGCTTGCCTTTTTAGCTAACACCCTTTTCTCACATCATCTTTGCTACTGTATAGAGAGGTGTATATGTTGTGAGTGTCTTTCTCATTTATAACAATCCATACTCGTAAACTGTATTCCTCCATATTTCCTGAAATGGACTTGAAGTTTAAGGAGAGGTGTTAGAGATGGACAGTTCCAACTAGTTGAAGATCTCCCCAAGCCCCTTTTATGGGAGAAAAAGAGAAGGAAGGAAGGGAGAAAAGAAAGGAGGTGGAAGAGGAGAAGAAAGAGGGGAGGGAGAAAGCGCTCTGGAGAGAGGAAAGAGAAACAGAGAGAAATGAGGAGAAATAAGGAGAAACCAAAGAAAATATTTGTGGTCTTCTACTTTTTGCCATTCCCTACACTTTTCTGTTCATCGCCACCTATCCTGAGTAGTGGCTTGAGGAGCTTTTGAGGGGTTTGAGAGGGAGGTTGGGAAGCTAAGAGCATTCAAGACGGCTTCCCCTCTTCTCTCCTTCATCTGGATTAAATGCATCCAGTATGAGGAGGAGGGTGCAGAGAGCTCTCCCTTCCCTACCTACACTAAATAGTAGTGTCCACTTTTCACTGAAAACCCACAGTGTGCAAAGTACCTAGTTAGGGAATTGATACTATGTTTGTCTCTAATCCTCCCCACAGCCATATACAAGGAGGGTATTATTATCCACATTTTATATATGAGGAAACTGAGGCTTGAATTAGTGAGGTTAGTGATTCATTCCTTAGCTGTTATATAGCAGAGCAGTTTTTCTATTTTATTTTTATTTAAAAGATTTAATTTAATGAGTAGTAAACAGATTAATAGAAATGAATAATAGTTAACTCATGAATGTGGTTTAAGTTTGTAAAGTAAAACAAAACAGAACAGTTTTACTTAGTAGAGGGGTTTTATGAAAGTACATACTACCCCAGACAAAGAAAAAAGGAGAGGGACTGAATCTGTTGGGTAGGTGAGAGGGGAATGAGAAAAGCTCTGGGGGAAATACTCTATACGTACATTGTCTAATAGGGTAGCCACTAACCACATGTGGCTTTTGAGCTCTTGAATGTGACAGGTCTGAATTGAGGGGAGCTAAAAGAGTAAAAGACACATTTTAGTATAAAAAAAGAATGTAAAATATCTAAACAAATTTTCTATTGCTTATATATTGAAATTATAATATATTAGATATATTGCCTTAAAATATTAAAATTAATTTTACTTGTTTCCTTTTACCTTTTTAATGTGCCTAATAGAAAATTAAAAGTTACATGTGTGACTCACATTATAGAACATAAATGTTTATACTTGATTCCTAACCACCCTGGGCTTCTTCCTAGTGTGGCACTCAGAGAGGAGGATATAGGGACACAGCCAATTCCATCAGAGAAATTCCTCTTTTGTTTGTTTATCAAATCAGGTTTCTGATATAAACTTCTTTGAGGGAAAGAATCTACAGCCAAAATGCTTGACAATTCTAGTCTTAGAATATTTTCCATGTACCCTGAAGACGTGGAATGAGAAGAAGAAACCCAGATACCTTTCTTTTCCTCTTATCACTGTATCCCATGCATTAACTAGAAGGGCCACTAGATCTCTCTATGATTCCCTCTAAGATGGTGGTGGGCCTGTTTTTTTTTCCTTGTTATTCTGGTATGTCAGGAGTTCATCAAAGGTATATTTGTTACTGAAATTTTACCCCTTTTCTGTAGGTTGCAGAAATATATTTGTGAAAGGGAATGTCTTTTAAGTATTCCTAATTGATAGCATGGAGAGAACCAAGTTACAGATGGTCTTTATTAGAAATTCCTTCTCTTTTGGAAAATGTAGACCTCTTTTTCCTACCCCGTTAGCAACAGTGATTGGAGAATGATTGAGTGGTCTCTTGTGGAAATATGTATTTACCTATGTAAAGATCAGTTTCAACTCAGCACATTCTTCTTTAACTGGTGGACTAACCTGTAACCTCTAAAGGGTGTTGACATCTCTTCAGTTTATAACTGTGTGTATGTGTGCATGTGCTCGTGCATGTGTGCAAGAGTGTGCTCTCATGCTCATATTTATGTTTTTAACAATAAATCCAGCTGCTAACTTAGAGAAAAGCTTTTGAAGCTACTTTGTAGATTTTAATTTTCTTAAGAATAAATAATAATCCTGGCCATTTGAACAACCCATCCCCCCAAAATGTTAGCACGTGGTCACATACCTGAATGTGCAAGATGAATTCAATTCAAGGGTGACAGAACTGATCAGAGGAAAGGTAAGAACAAATGCATGCTATGAAAAAGCCATTGATTTCCCTGACACTAATTGTAACCAAAAATAACATTGTAACCTCAAAGGGTATTTGTATGTGTTTGTTGTCAGAGGGCAGATATAGGAACCCAAGATAGAGCCCAGACAGTTTCTTAGTTAGAATATCACCTCTGCTTTTTGAAGTCTTACAATGTTTCTTTCTCTATGGCCTTTTCATTTGGTCCTCCAAAAATGAGGGTCTGTTGAGTTTCCTCTGATGAGTTTTAGTTGTCCTGTGGAAAGGAGGCATTCTGATGTAAGAAAGTTTTGCTTATCATTAGTTGAATGCACTTTCCATCCTGCAAAATGTTAATCCTCAGATCACACCAAAGTGAAGGACAAAGCATAAGTGAGAACAAACTACATCAAGTAATTCTTTCCTCATGTGTCTTTTACCTAAGGCAGATGTGCATACTTGGTGATACAATTGACACATTCCTCCCTCAAATGTGGGTTTCATACGTTTCTCCATGATCAAAAAGGAAATCATTTTATCTTGAAGTTGTAAGAGAAGCATTTATTTTACCATCCTTTTAAAGGCAAGAGTATCTGAAATTTGAGATAAGGAACAAGCCTATAGTTTATGCCCCTCCCTTCCGTTCATCCTTTCCAAAGCACCAACAGTTCTAGAGGCCATGGGGATTTATATATAAATAAGTCCCTCTCATGGAATTTATAATCTGTGTTGCTTTGATCCAATCCAAATATAAGCATTAGTAGCCATGCCACTAAATAAGTCAATTCCAAACAGTTATGCCTGCCCCATCTTTGGAACATGGTGGGAAGTCTCAGGAACAGACAGCAAATGTCTACAATGTCCACTGGCTCTTGTATATCTCTAAGGCTTACCATCATGCTTTCTGAAAGTCCCTGCTCTCAGGAACTCACTATGCTCGTTGTAGAATTGTCTAGCATGTTGACAGTCTCTTTTCTGTGTGTGTCTAAGTCCTACATGCCATGTGTATCATGGTACCTGTGTGTTGCACTGAAGTGCCATGAGCTGTAGTAGGAAGAGCTTTGGCACCAAGAGGCAAGAGATATATGTTTTAAACGTGGCTGTTCCAACATGTTGGATCATCTTGCAGAGCCACATAACACTGAGGTTTATAGAGTCCATTTTCATGCTGCTGATAAAGACATACACAAGACTGGGGAAAAAAAAAAAGAGGTTCGATGGACTTACAGTTCTACGTGGCTGGGGAGGCCTCACAATCATGGCAGAAGGCAAGGAGGAGCAAGTCACATCTTACATGGATGACAGGAGGCAAAAAGAGAGAGCTTGTGCAGGGAAACTCCTGTTTTTAAAACCATCAGATCTTGTGAGACTCATTCACTATCATGAGAACAGCACAGGTAAGACCCGCACAGGTAAGAACCATCAGATCTTGTGAGACTCATTCACTATCACGAGAACAGCACGGGTAAGAACAGCACAAGTAAGACTATAATTCAATCACCTCCCGCCAGTTCCTCCCATGACACATAGGAATTGTGATAGTTACAATTCAAGATGACATTTGGGTGGGGACACAGCCAAACTATATCAGTAGAGACAAGGTTTCACCATGTTGGCCAGGCTGGTCTCAAACTCCTGTCCTCAAGCGATCTACGCACCTCGGCCTCCCAAAGTGCTGGGATTACAGGTGTGAGCCACCGCATCCAGCCAACCCTTCTCTTTAATTAAGAATACTTCTCTAAGAACCAGCCTGAGTAATTTTGGGTAACTTCATATGAGTGAGAATATATGTGATATCAGGATTGTGATTATCATACCATTTGACCATGAGTTCCCTTTTCATCTGCAAGTCAAAGGATAGTTATTTCTAGGGCCTTTTTCCCTTAAAGACTGGAAAGTCTGTACTTAAAATGAGCAACTCCATTCCTGATTTTTACATTGGACTTAGAATCTCTGATCTTATTTCCCCAGGGGCAACATTTATGCGACTTGGCTTGAATTTCTTCCTCTTTCCTTCTCTTCATTTCTTCACTATGTCTGCCTTTAAATACCACTTAAGGTAATAACTTGTTGCACAGTTACCATTCTTTATTTCTTCTGCAAGAGATGGTCAGATCTTCTTTCTGGCTTCCACAGTCTGGTGAATTTGGGACACATTCATTTGTTCATGGCCCAAACATTTGCTAAGTGCCTATTATTTCCTGAGAAATGTTAGTTAATGAGCCCTATTCCTTGCTCTTAAGGAGTTTATTTTCTAATGGAAAAGGTAAACAAAAGCAGGTAATTATGTTACAGTGCACAGTAACCATTAAGAAGAGATGAACATGTGTGCAAGGACCCTAAATGCCTTAGCTGGGTGAAGAAAAATGGCCACTTTTAAGAACCAAGTTGCAAATGTAGGCCTAGGTGCAGGATTAAGACCATGTTCACTTTGCTTATTAGCCATATTGTCAGTATCTTAAGGAATACTTGTGGGGTTGGCTCTTTCCTTAGTGGAACATCTTTATTTCTTGTCTACTTTTTATTTCTTGTAAAAAAAAAAAAAAAGGTAATCTAACCTAACCTTTTCTAATGTAACCTAACAAGTGTTATTTTTTAAAAGTATTTTTAGGTTCTTTGTGACTACATTTTTGTCTTTCCCTAGACAGTGGCTTCCTAATTAGATAACCTGTATAGACAATTCCAAATTTAGCAGAAATTCAACCAAATACATGCTTCACAGTGCAAACACCAGCAACACCTTTCAGCAACACAGTTTGGTGAAGACATGCCTAGTTGAAAGATATTTTGTGACTTGAGGTTTATTTAAGCTAATAAGTAATAATAATTTTTGGAGCCTGAACAGATCCCCAGTTTTAGCATACTTACATCTTCTTTATGTCTCTATGTATTTTAAGTTTCTAAGTAACTGTTCATAGATGTATTTTGAACATGGTTTCCTAGATATTGTCTCAATTCCAATTCAATATTTATATCTGTTGGAAAGCACATGCACTGGAAAAATGTTTTGGCAACTGTTTTCATTGACTGTAAATCATTTATTAGATAGAGTGTTGTTAAAGTTGAAATGCCAAAGTTGATCTACCCTATGCTCTTTGACTTTTTGGTTGTTACAGATAAAAAGAGATTACTCTGCTGAGAGTACTAATTTTACTTAAAGGTCCTTTTGGTTTGCATATTAAATATGTCATTCAGTCTCTCCCAAGTTAAATAGAGTGTGCCCTACTGTTACTTTGAAGTTAAATGAAGTTATTTTCTGTTTTGGTGCATAAGTAAATATAATCATAACTTACTTTCTTTTTGTAAATGAGGTTAATAAGTGCTTGTGTCAAAAAATAGCCAGTTTATGACATTTTAGTTCATTTATTTTAGATATAATTACCAAATCAGTGTTCTACTTTTTTCTTCAAATAACAAAATGCTGGCCGGGCATGGTGGCTCATGCCTGTAAGCCCAGCAGTTTGGGAGGCCAAGGCGGGTGGATCACCAGGTCAAGAGTTCAAGACTAGCCTGGTCAAGGTGGTGAAACCCCGTCTCTACTTTTAGTTTTAATACAAAAATTAGCCGGGCATGGTGGCAGACACCTGTAATCCCAGCTACTCGGGAGGCTGAGGCAGAGAATTGCTTCAACTCAGGAGGCGAAGGTTGCAGTGAGCTGAGATTGCAACAGTGCTCTCCAGCCTGGGCAACAGAGTGAGACTCCATCTCAAAAAAAAAAAAAAAAAAAAAAAAAAGGCTTCATGAGGTGTTTTTGTCATCTGTGATGGGGAAAGATTGTAGCATCCAACCAAAGAGCTATAAAGAAGACAGTGTTGTACAGTTTATGTCTTGGTCTTAATTCTAAACTTCCCTTCCAATATGTGCTTATGGATGTTTTAACTCATTTTTCGTTTGTTTGTTTCCACTTTGTCATCTGTTCCCATTCTTTAATATTACTTTCATTTCCAGCTAAATTGTTAAACTCCAGTTACATGGAGAATATTACCATGGGAAAACATCATTTAATTTATATTCTATCTAGTTCTGGCAATAGCAGTAATACATAATGTAACTTCTCAGTGATTCTCATGTCATAATTTAACTAGCTTTGACTTTTACTGGGAGTAAGCACCCTACTCTGGAAAATCCATTTCATAATTTTGTGTCTCAATGCTATCATGTAGCTAATCAGTTAATTGTAATTACTTCTGCTTAATTCACAAGAATTCTGAAAGGATGTATAATAATAAAATATTTTATCATGGAATTTGTCTCTGATAAGGAAGTAACCATGAGAAAACCTATTCAAGTGGGAATATAATTCTATAAACCTAACTTCCAAGTAACCAGTCTTTGTTGAATTATAGTGAATTTCCAGATAGCTTTGTGTCTCAGAGGACATGGGTTGGAGTTCTATAGCTGAACCAGCATTATTTTAGGTATTACATGAGGAAGCAACCATAACAAATTGAACAGGTGGTCCTGGGAAAATAAGTCTGGAAAAAGTCCAGAGATTGGTGGGGGAAGGGGGATAAAATTTAACTAATGGTCCAATGAAATGTATACTACCCTGGATAGGCATATATCTCTGGTAGCCTCTATTAACATGTAAAATTTGTAAAATTCGCTTGAAGTTTACTGAATATCATTTTGTTTCAAGTTGTTTCACTGAAATAATCAAACTTGAAGCATCTCTTGATGTAATGATAACTCAAGTTTATATAGTATTTTTTTGTTTTGAATATCAGTTCATCATCTAAGAAATATCTTAAGTCAAATATTAGTCTATTTTACCACAAAGGAAAATAAAATTTTAATGATAGTAAAGTTATCAACACAAAATAAGAAGAAATAGATCAAATGCAGTGTTATTGTATCAAGATTTAAAAATATAAAACTGTGAATTAATTTTAAAAAGGAGAAGTTTAGTAGCTCAAATAGATTTACAAAAATAATTGACACAACTCAGGTAGTGATTGAGGTGGTTTGGCCTTCAGTGGTTTACTTCTATGCTACTAAAAGTGTGGTCTGTGGACTAGCACCTGAGAATTGGTAGAAATTATCTGAGAACCCACCTCAAGCTTACTGAATTAGAATTTGACAATTGGTTTTAACTAGTTTTTCAAATGGTCCACATGTAATTTAAAGTGTTGGAGGTATTGGCTTGGTTAAATGTAATGTTAATTTTAGTCAGTAGTGCAGCAACATGTCTGCTAAGAAAAATAAAGTAAGCATAGATGGAGTTCATAATCACATGGCATCCAGAGAGAGATAATTGGACTTCCTATCCTGCTGACTTTGTTCAGTTACGGGCGCTATAAGTTGTGCTTTAAGAACATGCAACAAGGACACCGACCGGGATGGTGACCAATTTTATATAGAGAATAACTGAAGAAACAAAACATTTGACCTGGAGAAGAGAAAACAGGAGAGCTATAATTGCTGTGTTCAAAGATTCCAAGGCCTGTCCCTTGGAAGACAGGGGAGAAGGAGGCAGAAGTAAAGCAATTAATATAGACAATAAACAGGAAAATGTATCTTTTTAAAATCTAAGATGAACTTTGAAACAATTATGTGTGTCCTAAAAGAGATCTTCCTTATTCTAAGTAGAGAGTTATATTGCTGAATATTTTTAAGTAGAGACTGAAAAACCACTACCTAGAATGAATCCCCCTGTTAAATGCTCTCTAAGCTCCTTGTCACAAGGTAACAATAGGAGTTGCATTGAATCTATAGATTGCTTTGGGTAGTATGGTCATTTTAACATTATTAATTCTGAAGATCTTATACAGTATTATTCTGTATAAAGGTATAAATGAAATAGAAAAATTCCTAAAATCTACGTAGAACCACAAAAGACCCTGAATAGTCAAAGCAATCCCAAGCAAAAAGAAAAAGCTGGAGGCATCACACTGCAACTTCAAAATAGACTACAAAGCTACCATAACCAAAGCAGCATGATATTAGTATAAAAACATACACATAGACCAATGGAACACAATAGAGAACCCAGAAATGAGTTCATATATTTACAGCCAACTGATTTTCAACAACGGCATCAATATACATTCAGGAAGGGACACCCTCTTTAATAAATGGTGTGGGAAAACTTGATATCTGTGTGCAGAAAAATGAAACCAGGCCCAAATCTCTCACCATATACAAAAATTAACTCAAAATGAATTAAAGACTTAAAGGTAAGATCCCAAACTATGCAACTACTTGAGGAAACCAGGGGAAACAGTTCAGAATATTGGTCTAGTCAAAGATTTTATGGCTAAGATATCAAAAGCACAGGCAGCAAAAACAAAAATAGACAAATGGGATTATAGTTTACTGAAAAGTTTCTGGACAGTAAAGGAAACAATCAACAGAGTGAAGAGGCCACTCCACTCTGGGTGAAAATATTTACAAACTGTTCATCCAACAAGAAACTAATATCCGGAACACCTAAGGAGGTCAAATAACTCAACAGCCGAAAAACAAATATCCAATTAAAATGTGCACAAATAAGCTAAACAGACATTTCTCAAAAGAAGGCCTACAAATGGCCAACAATTACATTAAAAAATGCTTGACATTACTAATCATCAGGGAAATACAAACCAAAACCACAGTGAGATTTCATCTTATCCGAGTTTGAATGGCTATGATCAAAAAAATAAAAAATAAAAAAATAAAAAATGCTAAAGAAAAGGGAACTCTTAGACACTGTTGGTGGGGATGTAAATTAGTAGAACCATTATGGGAAACAGTATAGTGGTTTAAAATCTATATTAAAATTAGGACTGCCATGCAATCCAACAATCCCACTACTGGGTATTTTTAAAGGAAAGGAGTCAGTATATCAAAGGGATACCTGCACCCGCATGTTTAATGCATCACTGTTCACAATAGCTAAGATATGGAATCAACCAAAATGTCCATTAACAGATGAGTAATTAAAGAAAATGTGGTATATATACACAATGGAATACTATTCAGCCATATAAAGAGTGAAATTCTGTCATTTGCAGCAACATGGATGAGCCTGGAGGACATTATGTTAAACAAAATAAGTCAGGCACAGAAAGATAAATACTGCATGTTCTTATGTATATGTAGAAGCTAAAAAAAATGTTTAAGCTCATGAAAGTAGAGACCAGAATTGTGGCTATTAGAGGCTGGGAAGCATGGGGGAAGGAGAGGGTAGGGAGAGGTTGGTTAACAGACTCAAAATCATAGCTTCCGACAGCACTGTTGGTTAAATGTGGTTAACTACAATTTATTGTATATTTTTCAAAAACCTAGAGGAGAGGATTTTGAATGTTCCCAACACGAAGAAATGATGCATGTTTGAAATGATGGATATGCTAATTACCCTGATTTTGTCATTATACATTATATGTGCATATTAAAATATCACTCTGTATTACTCCTAAATATGTACAATTATTACACATCAACTAAAAATAAAAGGAAAAATAGGTAAATAATATATAAAAGATACAGTAAAAATACAATATTATAATCTTATGGGACCACTGTCATATATGTATGTGGTCCCTAGTTAATCAAAACAGCATTGCATATGACTGTATTTCTCCAGTTTTAAAAATTACTCATTGTTCCATCTGGGCATGGAACTGTGTCTGTTTTATCCACTGTCTGTTGTATCCTCAGCCTCTAGCACAGTGTCTGACAGAAAATGTTTCTGTATGACTAAAGGGAGGAAGGAATAGATGGGAGGGAAGATTGAATTCATTAGTATATTCAATTAATATTTACTGATTGTCTTTGATATGCAGGCACTCTGATAGGCATTAGGAAGATGTAAGTGAACAAAACAGATTAATATCCCGTCTCTACAATTTAATTTTTCTGTGGATTAGTTTCAATAACCTATAAGTAGTTTATACAGAAGGAGAATGAAGAACAAGAATCAGATGTCTACTAGAGCAACACATCTTTAAAGAAGTAAACAGCTTCCAAATATCTCAGAGCAACCAGACCAACATGAAGTATGTTGAAGTTGACATAAAATAGAGATTTCATTTCTTTGTTTTAAAATTACCTTGAATATGAAGTTAAAACTCTTCATGTGTTATAGGCTGATGAAAAGCTTAGACAAATTACTAAAACTTTGGAGACTGCAAGACTCCAAATAGGAGCAACATGAGGTAGAGCAGCATATGCAGCTGTATGACCAGAGAATTTCTGAGAATTTACTCTGATTTCATTGTCAGTGTTTTATGTTGTGATTTCTTTGATTACATCATGGTATTATTAGTGATGTTTTAGTATTTAATATTAGAACTACTTTGACCTGAAAAACGTGTCCTAAAATACCTTATTTTACCTGAGTTACTGTGTTCTTTGAACCTTATTCCATCCAGGTGTCAACATTTTTTTCTCATCACCATGCATCTTTGATTTTATAATGTAAGTCAGTGAGAAAACAAGATTAATTTAACGGAAAATTGCTTTCCACAATCTTTTCTGGAATCTCTTTTGTCTGTTACCCAGGCAATATCTATATTATTACTTTGTCCTCAAAAGCTTTTACCAATTTGGCAACACAGAATGACTAAATCTCTTTTCCTTTATCTGGCTTTTCATTAGGAAGGAAACTCCCAAAATTCATTTCTATCAGCATTATCCTCAATGCTAAATCTTGTATGTCTCAAGTCTGTTTATAATAAATATCCTCATTATGACTAAGGTCGTCTTACTTCTCTGCATTACTTCAGTTTCTAATGAAAGCAATGCCCAAGTGACTAAGTGGATGAAGCCCCCGACTGTAGGAAAGTGTTCCCATCAAATATCTCCTAATTGCCCTCAATGAATCAGCTTCAGGCTCAGCCTTATCTCTGGCACCTTCCCCAGCTTTGTGTTGATAGCCAATAACATGTGCTCCGAGCATGAAGGAGATAAAAATGGTGTGACTCTTAGAAAGCCAGCCATAGAGTGGAGTTAGGGAGCTGTTTAGATTCTTGACTTCATGGTCCTGATGTGATTGATTTTCACCAATTTGCCTTCAGACATGCTTTGCTATCATTGCTTCAAACACGTAACTTCAGATCCTACAGGGAAACTTGTGCTCCTTCAATTGTTTCTGCTGCCTTACACATAGGTCCTGTGTTAAGACATCTTGTATTCATCAGCCTCCAATGGTAACTTTAGGCAAGTAACATAAGCACTTTCTCTGACCATCTGTAAAATTAAGTAGTAACTACAAAGCATCTGACACATTTCTTATAAAAGCACAGTCCAGTCACCCTGGCCTGGCTCACAGCTGTGGAGAACAGCGTGCTTGTGTCTGAGCCTCCTGACGTATGTTTTCTTTTCAGTCCCTCTGCCCCCTGCCTTCCTTACCACCACCCCCCACCCACAATATCTTCTCTTTCTCTCTTTAACTAGTTCTCCTCCACCCTCACCCCCTATGCCTGACCCTACTCCTCACACCTGCTTTGGCCCCATATAATACAGGATGTTTTAATATACTATGTACATGGAAGAAAACGGAAATTGAAGTTGCCAGCCATGAACTTTCTTTTCTTTTCTTCTCTTTTAAGTGGGGGAAGAGTATCGTCAACAGCAAGGAGGCTATTTTCTTAGTGACAGCAGAAAAGTGGTAGGGGGTTAGGGAAAGAACACTTAAGAAATTAGAGCTTCCAGCGGATACATGGTGTTTGATCTTTTAATGGTGTTGCTGCTGGGCCTGGTATATATTTTATCATGGGAGATGGTTAGAAATCTGAGCTTTGAAGGTGGGAAATGTGTCAGTTGGTTTGTGTGTGTGTGTGTGTGTGTGTGTGTGTGTGTTGTAACACAGAGTACGCCACAGAGACCAAAAGCCGTGGAACTGTTAAAAGACAGAGACATACAGGCATGTGGATATGGAGTGGATGAGGCACACAGACACATATTAAATGAGAACCTACTAGTGACACCCTGAAGAGAGAAATGAGGTAAACAGGCATGATACTGGAGGGAGAGGGATGATAGATCAGTGAAATGACTTCTATGCTTCAGCCTTCCAGTATCACACAGGCTGTGAGCAACTCACAGACTATCAACTTATGACATCAACTCCTTGGCATGACTTTGGACACAGAATTCATGCAGTCTCCACCTGTCCCAGGTAGTCCTTGATTTTGTGTGTCTGACTTCAACCCTTTTCTATGGGCATTCCCTAGAAATGCGGAACATACTCTTCAATACCTCAGCTAACAAATGAGCATTTCTGGTTCTCACCCAGGGGTACATACTGGGAGCCACCGGTTTTATTTCTGTACTGTCAGCCTTATGGTCTTTCCAGTAGAGTTTATGTATTTATTTGAAGCTTTTAGGGCATTTTGCCCTCACTTAAGCTAATTGGACTATATGTGAAATTGCGTGGGTATAGCGGGGGTAGAATGCCAAAGAACAGGCATAAAGAAAATGTTCTGAATTCTGGAAATATATTCTAAAAGCTCACGTCTGAAAGTTGGGTAACGAGGAATTTTATCTTTTAACTCTTCCTCCCCCTTCATAGCATTTAACTTTTGTTTGATTTTCACATTCAAAAAGAACAATTTTAATGTATTTTTCAGAACTACCAACAGGGCCAGCATAACCATGGAGCTGAAAACAGATGGTTTGGTTTTGCAAAGGAGAAAAAGTGATATCTTTTCCTCACCCATTTGCAAGGTTCATGGTTGAGATCCCTAAAGCAAAAGACAGATTAACAAGAGAAAAGCATACATTTAGTATACATTTTATGTGACACAGGAGCCTTCAGAAGTGAAGACCCAAAAAAAACAAGGAACCTTATGTACTTTTATGCTAAGTATGACGAAGTGGACAGCCTTGGGGAAATATGATTGGACAAAGAGGGTATGATCTAATGGTAATAAACTTGGGGGTACTTAGCAAGACCTCTTTGCTCAGATTCTTCTCTTTGTCCCTGTGTCTTCAGAAAAATGGATGTCTCTTTCTTCTGGGTATAGGAGATATCTCTCGAATGAGAATTTTATGACCTTCTTCAAAGAAAGGTCAGAAAAAACATTTATGTCCTGCTTAAGGAGGGTGGGAGGAGGTCAGAGAGACCTTCCTGCTTCTGCTGTTTACTCAAGGTGCCATATTTTGAGGTAGCATGTCCTGAACTCCATCAGTTGAATGTTTATATTTGAAGTTAGAACCTCCCCCAGTCCATGCTGCTAAGTTCACCCCCTTTCCCTATCTCCTCATGACCCTAGAGAATTTGAACAAAAAAGGGTCCAGTTTCAAAGACACTGAGCATAAGAGAAAGTGAAGCTGGACTGAAACCAGGGAATCAAATAAAAATCTACTCCCAGTATATTCTCTTCAGAAAATTATTCTCTGGAGAAACTGAATAGTTACAAGGGCACAGTGGCAATTATGATGCTTTACAAAAATACCATATATGTTTTGTACTTTTAGGAAAATGAAAACTGCACATTTGAAATAAAAAAAGAAGATGCAGCTGGGTGTGGTGGCTCACGCCTGTAATCCCAGCACTTTGGGAGGCCAAGGCAGGTGGATCACCTGAGGTCAGGAGTTCAAGACCAGCCTGGCCAACATAGTGAAACCCTGTCTCTACTAAAATACAAAAAATTAGCCGGGCGTGGTGGCGCACGCCTGTAGTCCCAGCTACTCGGGAGGCTGAGGCAGGGGAAATCTCTTGAACTCGGGAGGCGAAGGTTGCAGTGAGCCGAGATCCCGCCACTGCACTCCAGCCTGAACGACACAGTGAGACTCCGTCTCAAAATAAATAAATAAATAAATAAATAAATAAATAAATAAATAAATAAATTTCATATAAATGCAGATTCCTGGCTTCTCCTAGAAAAATTAGGCTGCCTGGCCCCCCTGGAGCCATATTCCATCTGACAATATGGCTTGCCCATTTAGCTGAAGCACCTGACCTCCAGCTTGTCATAGTCTCTACCTTGCCTCCTTGCCTCCCCACAGCTGAGGCTCAGGTGTTATTTAGTATTGTGATTATTCAGTTATCTTACTTGTTTCAGGGTTGAGGAAAAAAGGAAATAATTTTATGCCTACATCAAAATTGGGACAATCAAAGAGGTTCCAAGAGGGCTTCATGCTTCCCCTGGCTTACTGTGCTAAGGTACCTTCCAGGCTTCTATGGGATTTAAGTTTTCTACCTAAAATTCCTGATGATATAGTACAAGCTTTCGTTAGCTCTGTTATGAGCACAAAGACCATCCTTCATATGGTCACCTTTTTATAAGAAGCTTATAAACTTTGTCACCCTGCAGCTATTCCTTCTCCAGATTACTGTCTCCAAAGACTTCATTTTTCATTTATGTGATCACACCCATGTACTCTTGATCTTTGCCACATTTTTCCTGTCTCCACACAGTCAGGGCCTGATCAATAAGGAATGACTATGTGTTGATGACTTCACAGCTCTCACCCATTATCCTTCAGTTCATGCATATGGGTGTCTTGTCTCCTTTTTAAATAGCGCCATTATCCTAATGGCTAATGCTCGGTGGGTGGCCTTCTGTAACTCTTGTATATTTTTCTACCATGGCTGAACACAGTGAGTACATTTCCATCTTGTGTTTATGCACTTGGGTTTTCTTTTGTAAGCACATTGCCTTCCACTTATTTCCATTAAATTTCATATTCCTTATTCAAAAACACTTCTCCAAATTGGTCAAAGTAGGTTTTAATTTTCCCACTGCTGCCAAAGGTGCTGGTTACCTCTCTTCAAATTGTTGTAGTTATCACACTTTATAATGATACTGTTTTATCATTCAAATCATTGGTTCAGAAATGAAATTATATAGAGTCTATGGCCGACCTCTGTAGAACACTGGTAAGGGGTCCAACTCAAGATGATCAGTGATCCATTGAAAATGGTGGTTGTCTTCTTTAAAAAATAAAAATAAAAATAAAAACTTTGAGTAAAATAACCCCTTAAAATTAAGTAGTTATTTGCCTGAATTAAGTATAACCTGTAACTTATTGTTAAGTAAACATGGTTAAGCTAACCTTTATATGAATACCCAGGCTGTAAAAATTTATGCTATTTGGTAGTCTTGGAAATACAAATTCCAAATAGCCTGAAATAAGAAGCTACAATATAATGGGAGGCCAGTAGTTAAAAAATACTGCCACAGTAGAAGGGGTGAAGTGGATCAGGAAGAATCCTAGGATACTTTACTTAGAACCCTTTGTACAAACAGCATGAAAGTAATGAGATTAATGAAAGATTTTTTTGTCAAATTTAGAAGAATCTGAGAAACAAACTGCAAGTTTTCCATTTCATTTGATGTCTTGGCAAACCTACTGATATGTGTGTTATTTGTCTCTGTCTTCTTAATATTTGCTACCTTGCCGGTTGCCTGGTGATTTAGGAAGACGTGGGGAGTATTTGTAAACAAAGGAAGCTTTTCAGAAGTGGGTAACAGTAGCCAGAGTTTGCTGGTTGGATCTTCCAGGAAGCAGGAGCTGAGAAATAGGAGTGCAAAAGTTTTGTTGAGGGGCATACCTGGGGAAGATAAAAAAGGGAGGAAGCAGGATTAGGCAGAGAGCCCTCAATCACAGGGCAAATCTGCTGAGTCTTGGCCAGCTCAACAGGAGCTCCCGACCAAAGATCCCCTGTTCTAGGAGCTCAACACTGGGCAGAAAACAGCCAGGTCCTATTGCACCCACTGTGCTCAATCATGACCGAGAGCTGCCTCAGAAGAGTGTGGACTCAAGTCAGAAGCTGAGGAGGATCCTAAAGGCAGTAAGTAAGTAATAGCTACAGGCTGTGAGCTCTATTTGCATTCCTCACAGCTGAATGCCAAGTTCTTTCTTGAAGGAAAAGTACAAGCAATATATCTTCATCACTTGTGCTTAGAACATTTTCCTTATTACTGAACAACAATTAGAGATGATCTTGACATTCTCCTCTCCGTATTCTCAATGTTTCAGCAACATGTGCAAAATCCATTCTTCTATACCAAAGTCACACACTCACGGAAGAGATGAAGCTCTCAATACCTGAAGTAATTCCCAAGTGTTGGTGAAGGAGTAAGACAAAAACATGCAGGATTAGAATGGGCAGGAGAGAGAGCAGATGGGTTAGGAAAGAGAATCACTGAACATTGACCCTAACTAAATATGAAAAGGAAATGGCAGGTAGGTGATCAAAGAATCAGGTGGGCAAGAGTTACCTAAAATATCGGTTTCCCATTCACTGCACAAAATGATGGCATTTGCCCCTTTGGAAATGGTTAGCTCTTAGAACTCTGGAAATAATAGAGTAGGTTGGGAATTTTATTCCTCCAGAATAATGTCTGGTTTTGAAAAACATGCATGCTCTTTAATTCTCATAATACTGAATCTTGCCTTTGAATTCTGTCATTTAAGTGATAAACTAAAGCAGTTAGATAAGGGAGATTTTTATTGTACACTGGAATAGATACAAAATAGTGGAAAGTAAAGGATAATAATAATAATAAAAGTCTTAGATGGTGCTACAAGGTGACTTGAATTTTGAGAAATCAAATCAACTCAAAGAGGAAAATTCAGGTAAGATAAAAAATATGTATGGTGATAGAGTGTAATCTTAGCATTGATATTGTATATGTACTGGCTCATTACCCACTGCATCAAAGATCATAATGTGTTTATTATATCATTTACCAAATGATAGCCATTTCCTGAACAACTGGCCTCTCCTGCACATCCTTGTGTGATGTCCTTTATTAATAAATGATGCCTGTACTTTGGGGCAGAAAGATAGAAAAAGATATCTGAAAAGGGTCTACAGGAAATAAGAGAGAAATTGGTAATCTCCTTAGCTTTTCTCTTTTGCACTGTTACATTGGCTGATTGTCTGGGGCATGCAAAATGTATCATAGGTACTACAACTAAATCTTCAAGGTAAAACCCAGAAAAAGTGAGAAAGAGACCCAAACCACCATTTTATATGTAATCTCACTTGGTGTTTGTTTATCCTGCCTCTCCAAGCTCTCCTGGCATGAGATAGGTCTGCCATGGTCAGATAGTAAGTAGCATCCAATTTGTTGTTTCTTACTTCATCAATAATTTTTTTCAAAATAAACTGTGGAAAGAAATCCACTTCCTAGCATGATGCAAACATCACTACAACACAGGGTTTCTTAAACTAAATTTAAAAAATAAAAAAGGAAGTAGTGGTTATTAATTATTTATTTGCATTTAAGAACTTCTTCCATAAGCATTTTCCAGAGATAAAAATCAAAGATATAATTAAACTTCAGAATGAAAGCTGAGGTTTAATTAATGAGTAGGTAACACTCAGTTACCTAACATCTTCCTAGTAATAAAATATAATATTAGGAAGGAAATATGTTAGCCAAAAAAGGAAGGAAATGTATCTTTTTCTTTTTCTCTTTTTTTTTTTTTTTTTTTTAAAAAAAGAGGAAGCAAAAGGAGGAGAGTGATATTGTGTTTCAGGGCATTTAATTTGAATATATCACTTGATAGAGTGCAGACTTCCCTGAGTTCTATAACCTGTAGTGTAAACACACAATAAACAGGCACCAAAACGCACCCAAGCCAACACCAAGCAGCCAGTGGGTTTTGGCTGACATAAGGCCTCTGGTTTGTGGGGTTCATCTGGCTCCCCTTCAGCTCTATCCCAACATATGAATGTTTCTTTAGTTAGATCAGTAGTCTTTATATGCCTCTGTTATATCAGAAAGACCTGGGTTTCTGGAGCAGCTTATAAAGATTGGGGTTTAGGTTAAAAGCACATCACAGGCAAACATGTGTTGAACATTATTCTGTGTGTGGAGACTTTGAAGAGCCTCTCAGGTATATGTAGGATTTGGTATTATGAGGAGATGAATTGGATTCAAGGTACTCAATCTTATTGCCAATCTTTTTCAATAAGAAACCATCTCCTTGGTTTGCACATCTGTGTTTGATAATGTGGGAGAATGTCTTTGATTAGACTTTCAGAGTAATCATTCAAAGGCAACTTTCTCCTCTGCTTTGCCGCATCTCATAAAGTTAGATTTTGTACATTAGTGAGGCACTGATTGCATGAAAATAATATTGGCTTTATGAGAGAGTATAATCTTGTTCAAATTATAACTCTCCCCGCCATTCTCAAAGTACTATTTTTGTGTCAGATTCTCCTCCACTGCTGCTTTTATGAGCACTTTCCAAAATAGTATTTTCTTTTTTGTTTCTTCTCCTTTATTGTCTTTTTATAACTTTTAATCATATTTTTATGGTACCTTAATAGCCGAGGCAAAGTCACAGGTGGCCTTCACTAAATCATTTCTACTTTTCTATAATCCTAATGGCAGTGAAAGAAAAGAGGTCTCTGGGTTGTCCCCCAAAATACTTGTTTATATCTTCCGATGCTATTTTTAATATTTCTAAGGATCAAGATCTCTACCTTGTGTTAAAGTATACATACTACCCATTTTGTTTGGTTTCCTAGCATTTGAAAAAGTATATTCTTGACTTTTCTCGTTTTTAATTATTATTAATACTTAATAGTTAATTACTTAGTTCAAGTTATGCTAAAAACTAATTATTTTATAACTTTTTGGCAATTAGTACTCTTACTAAATTTTACTAATTGCATATCAAAACAATGATAAGAGCAACTTCTAAAAAAATCTGTCTTCTTGGTTCAGTCTTGCTGGTTTTCTCTTCAAATTAAGTGAAATTCTCTTGATATTTTTTCAAAAGGTGAATATTTTCTGGAATAAAATACAGAGTTGAAGTGAAATCATGGAAACTGCTGTTTGAACAATGGTCATTAAATGTTATTCTCTCTGTCACCTTGCTGTCTCCCCACCACATTTATGATGTGAAACTAAATAAATACGGGTACATCTTTGAAACCGGTGTTTTTGATAAGACCACTCCTTTGTGGAGTTGTATCAGGGAATAGTCTCTTAATCCCAGTTGGTTGCATTTTTTTCCTTTTTATCAGTCTAGATAGATTGAGCCTAGGTCATCTCTTTTGGGCAAGGATGGTGAGTTTTCAGAAAACTGAAAGGTTGCCCTCAAGCTAGGTGCTGGAGGGATTTTGCCAACTGCACCTGGTGCTGAGTGAGTGGTAGCATAAGCAATTTGGGCTGGAGTGAGAGGCGAGGAAGAAAGCCACAGCCAAGACTTGGGAGATTTCAGGAAATAAGAATCCAGCTGACCAAATAAGAAGGCCCATGGGCAGGGAGCAGCTGGGCACCAGGAGATCCAACACAGGAGCCACTGCCTTGGAAATTGGAGGCAGTTATTTCATTTCCGGTGATGTTTTCTGATTCTCTATATGATTTTAACTCTAGAATTGCTAAAGGTAGCTCTGTGAGTAAGGTGGGTTGCTAGCCTATCACCAGATTATTAAAGTAAGTGTAATGTAGGGCAGAAACAAGAAAAAAAAAAAACGTTGGCTTCCAGAGACCAGAGACTTTGCTTAAAGAGGTACGTGACAGCTTCTGAGGGATCTGTTTGTATACATAACATCCCAGTGTCTTTCTGTCAAGCTACCTGCCTCCCAGGTACACGCGTATTGCTGAGGAAACACAACCAACACCCACTGTTTCAAAGAAAACCATTCTTTTTGGAGTAGTAAGCTCTTTTATAAGGCTGAAATAGATGTGGAGTATTTTAAGATGAATAGTCTTACATCCACTAAATTCTACCCAGTTTACTCTCATTACACCACAAGAGCCTTGGATTTTCTATGTGTATAAAGACGGTATTTGTCATTGAGCTTAGTGCTTTTTGTAGGGTCGGCATATTATAGGTTTCCCTCATAATGATAACAGAATCTTACATCAAGTGAACATGGAGGACTGAATATTTAAACCATGTGTGAAGGAGGGAAAAAAAACATAGTAGAGCTTTTCTTTTCACTGTACAGTTATGGATTATCTTTGCTGGCTGGATATTTATTTCAGATTTTTGTGGTTTCTCATGTCGTGGATTACAGGGACTCTTGTAAATGGGTTTCATATGGTAACTAGTGACCTTGAAGGACTCAATTTTTAAGATAATTAACTTCACAGTTCTAAGTCAGATCTATGCCAGTCACAGAATGAAATAATTTCTGTTTAGTTATCTGGGATTTCATTCGGTTGATTAATACCTATAGGAGAAGAGACTATTTGCTTTGATTTACATCTATATCACCTTCAATTTAATATTTCACGAGAAATAGAAGGCACGAAATAACCATTTTGGAGCAGATACACAGGCATCAAATGAAGCTCTTTTGATGTGAGGTGTTGGAGATAAACAGGTAGTATCAGGCGTCCATAGCCTTGCGTTTTACTCACCCCTCATGCTTTGCACCTAAAGTGTGCTCATAACTTTGCAGCCATGAGCCATCCCCTTGTCATTTTCAGCCCCTGACTTGTTCCTGGGGCTGCTGATTCATCTGTTTTCATTGCTGTCATGAAAACCAGTCTGCATTTCATCATAAAATTCAGAAGTGCCCTATTATATTAGGAAAGAATAACCCCCCACCAGTGGCCACATCATATGGAGAAAGAACCAATGTTTCATCTTTCTGTTTTTCAGAAGTCTCCCCCAAAATGTTTTGAGACAAAAATCAGAATAGAATCTGCTTACCCTCAAAGCAATAGGTTTTCTCTAAACAATCTAATAAGGATTTGTCTAGACTAACATCCTTTGGGAATTTATCTACAGATGTCTTTAACTCGTTACTGTGTCCAGCCTGTGCCACCACTTGGGAGTAATGTGTTCCACAAATTAACTATAAAGGAAAGAAATGAAGAGGACCAGAAGGAACAAATGCACAGGAAACAGTGCAAATATGCTCCTAGACAAGAGCAACATTTGTTACTGTTTATTACTACTTATCCAGAAAGCCTTTCTTAAACATATCCCCAGACCTGCACTGGGCAGGCTACCCCTTTTCTCCCCCTTGATAGTGCATTAGTACCGCTCCATGGAACAAATTGTCACAGAATATCAAAATATGCTATCTACTTAGCTAATCCCTATGTTGCACTCCTGAGCTTAGAGACTAGGCCTTACTCATCATAGTTCCATCAACATGAAGCACAATTTCTGAAATATACTGGTATACTCAGTAAATTCCTTAAAAAATGACCTCTTTGTATCTCAAAAACTCTAGGTTATTCCTTGGTACATAGAAGGAACCCAATACATGCTTTGTCAAAGAAGTAAAGAAAATAAAATTATTTTAGAATTGTTGAGAATCTTGGTGATATGACTGAAACCTTTTGTTTCATGGATGACAAGACTGGGGCCTGGAGAAGTGAGGTCATTTGCCCACCATCCTGCAGCTAGAATTAAAACCAAATGCAGTGGTTTAAAGCTCAGTATTCTTTTCACTCCAAATTGGTAGCTGCCTGTAATTTGCTGGCATTGTAGAAACAAAAACATAGTGAAAATCACCAAAATTATATTTTACATTTATAAAGTGCTTTACAGTTTCCAAAGCATTTTAATAAACACTATCTGACCTCCCTGTGGTGTTATCTCAAGAAGGTTAATAGGGGAGATAGTATTCCTCTTTAGTATATGAGGAAACAGGGATTCAGAGAAGCTAAGTGACTTGCCCAGAGTTTAGAATTCAAATCCTTCTTTCTTTTTTCTTTTCTTTTCCTTTTTTTTTTTTTTTTTTTTTTTTGAGACAGGGTCTTGCTCTGTTGCCCAGGCTGGAGTGCAGTGGCAGTGACATGAACGTGGCTCACTGCAGCCTCGACCTCCTGGGCTCAAGTGATTCTCCCACCTCAGCCTCCTGAGTAGCTGGGACCACAGGCACATGCCACCATGCTCAGCTAATTTTTAAAAAATCTTTTAAAAGTTCCCCTGGTGGTCTAGTGGTTAGGATTCGGCACTCTCACCGCCACTGCCCCCGTTCAGTTACCGGTCAGGGAACCAAGAAATGGAGCAGGACGAGCTGCAGACAAAACCCCTCAGACAGCAGATTAAAGAAGGAAGAGGTTTTTTGGGTGCAGCACACCAACATGGCACATGTATACATATGTAACAAGCCGGCACGTTGTGCGCATATACCCTAAAACTTAAAGTATAATAAAAAAAATGAAAAAAAGTAAAAAATTAAAAAAAATCTTTTTAGAGCTGGGGTCTCACTACGTTGCCCAGACTTTTCTGAACTCCTGGACTCAAGTGACCCTCCCACCTCAGCCTCCCAAAATGTTGGGATTATAAACATGTGCCACCATGAGCAGCCAAATCCTCATTTCTTGATGAAGATTCCTTCTCTGATAACTATCTTCTGATGCTGTGAGAGTGAACTGATATTTCCAAGAAAGGTGTATCCCAGAGATTACAAACAGTGACCATCCAAAAAATATTAGAACTGCGCAGGGATCTTTCCAGAGCATTCTAAAAATGAAGCTTACAATAGATTTGATTGGCTGTGAAGTTGAAATGGGGAGGGAGGTAAACCTTATGCAGGTTGTTATAGGATGTTAATCTCCTGGGACAGAATGGGAATAGGTAAGGTGACAACTTTAAAACAAATCAGAGAATTAAGAACATGGTTAAGAAATGATAGATTTTTGTGATCGGGGTTAAAAAGAGAGGAGCCATCTTTGATATAAAATAGGACTTTGTTTAACATTCTTGGGAAGATACTTCTCAGAATGGTGCATCTCACCCTTCCCATTGGCCAAGAGCGTCTCTTGAATATGGCTGACTTCCTGGACATGCAACCTGTGTAGTTAGAAGGGCCCATAGAAGTGCTCACCATTGGATTAATACTTTGCTGTTGCTGTCGTGAAAGGCTTTATCATTTTTGAACAGTCCCAATGTTTTCATTTTTCACCGGACCTCATGCATGACGTACCAGTTCTGGTGAAGCAAATGAGGCTTTGCCAAATTTTTTCTAATTAAGTGGGACTTTTTCCTCCTTTGCAAGTGATTATTCCTTCAGGATAAAAAAGTTTTGAACCATGATGCATTTGTTTTATAAAATGAAAACCAGAGAAGACTGCAAAGGTAGTAACAGAAATGAAAAAATAAGCAAAAATGATAAGGCCAAAATTATTATTTTTCATATCTTTATGATCAAATATCTTTTCTTTATGATAAATAATCATGTTTTGAGAATTAGGATTTTTGAAAGGATCAATTAAATGGCCTTTTCTGACTCTCGCATGTTGCTTCAACTGTGTAAGGTGAGTGATTGATCTTTTCATATTGATAGAATGGTTGTGACTGAACAATCATGAGAGCCTGCTGTGGGTGAAGATATTGGTTTTCTTCCAAATAATTTGCATATTATATTAGTCAATTTTCATACTGCTATAAAAAAACTGCCCAAGACTGGGTAATTTATAAAGGAAAGAGGTTTAATTGGCTCACAGTTCAGCATGGCTGGGGAGGCCTCAGGAGACTTACAATGATGGCAGAAAGCGAAGGGCAAGCAAGGCATCTTCTTCACAAGGTGGCAGGAAGGAGAAGTGCCAAGGGAAGGGGGAAGAGCCCCTTATAAAAACCATCAGATCCCATGAGAACTCACTCACTGTCACAAGAAAAGCATGGGGAAACTGCCCCCATGATCCAATTACCTCCACCTGGTCTCTCCCTTGATTCATGGGGATTACGGGGACTATAATTCCAGATGAGATTTGGGTGGGGACACAAAACCTAACCATATCACATATTTACCCAGAAATTTCAGAGTCATTGTGAGGTTGGTAAGTCAGTGTGACACTGAGCAAGCCACTGGTGCCCCTTCTTGCCTAATGTCTAAAAATTCCTTTTCCTACTGTTCTTCTTGCTGTACATCGATAAAGGTTTATCAAACTTTGTGTTACTCCTCAGTTCTATCTAGGGATGGTGTAGCCAAGAAGTTGAAGAAAATTGAAAAGCTGTTTGTATATTCAGTATTTGCATTTTATATATTTTATAGCATATAGTAGGATAATAGAGAAAATGTTAAGATTATTTTTATTTTTATTTATTTGTTTACTTATTTGAGACAGAGTCTTGCTCTGTCACCCAGGCTGGAGTGCAGAGGAATGATCATAGGTCACAGTTATCTCAAACTCTTGAGCTCAGGCAATCCTCCACCTCAGCCTCCCCTGTAAACCCTAAAAGTGTTGGGATTTTAGGTGTGAGCCACTGCACCTGGCTGAGATTATTTTTTAAATTGATTTAGATAGTATCCTTCATTGAGAAGCTCTGCTGAGCGTACATATAAAAGAATATCATTCTGGCCAGCCGTGATGGCTAACGCCTATAAACCCAGCACTTTGGGAGGCCGAGATGGGCAGATTACTTGAGGCCAGGAGTTCAACACCAGCCTGGCCAATATGGTGAAACCCCGTCTCTACTAAAAATACAAAAATTAGTCGGGTGTGGTAGCAGGCACCTGTAATCCCAGCTACTTGGGAGGCTAAGGCAGGAGAACCGCTTAAACCCAGGAAGCAGGGGTTGCAGTGAGCTGAGATTGCGCCATTATACTCCAGCCTGGGCATCACAGCAAGACTCTGTCTCAAAAAAAAAAAAAAAATAGAAGACAAAAAGAACATCATTCCAGTAACAACAAACACAAGGAAACTTTTGGGGAAAAAGTTTTTCTTCCCCTAGATTCAAACTATTATCTATTGTTTCTCATTTGCATAATAATTGTATGACTGCTTTCCACCTCTGCTCCACTGTGGTGTTTTCTGTTCTAGCTTCTTATAATACTGAATTTGGACCAGCATATGTTTATCTGTTCACTCATTCATTAATAAAACAAAGTATTGACTACCTGCTATTAATAAATATTAAGCACAGTGTGTTGTGGGAGGAGAGAAGGACATTTTTTCCTACTTAATCATAATTAGCCTTAAATAGTTCCCTAGGAGTTTCGGGTGTGTATGTTCACACTCCTTTGGTGATGCTGAAGCATTTTGAGGACATGACTAGGTCTTACACACTTCGGATTGGGTGTTGCACACAGAATAAAGTCCATGAAACTTCCTGAGTTGAATTATATTTGGAAGACAAAAATAATTTCTGTCTGGCTTAGAAACATTAAGAACCCAAAGTCTATGCGTTAGGGAAGAGAAACAGTCGACATGGGTGCAGAAGTGTTTGTAATTAAGTGGGTGAACTTGCTTAGATGAATGAAACCAGATTATTTGAGCAGGGCCAATGATGCCAGAGAAAAAGAAAAATACCAATGGAGAGTAAAATAAGTACACAAAATGAAAGATTCTGAAGTTTTGGAACGAAAGTTTTAGCTCAGGAAATGGAAGAATACTTGAGAGTTTCATGAGAAAAAAAATAAGTGATAGTGATAGATTGTAATTATGCAGACTTCTCTGAAGTCAAACAGAGAAGGGAGAGTATGAGATCTGTAGTGGTTATTAGAAGAATGATTAAGAGAAAGACTATGGCTTAATGTTTCTCTTTTGCCAAAGATGTTAGAAAGTACTCAATAACATTAAAGCAGAAGAAACAGCAATAAAATAAGAAGGCATAGATACAGTGATGTCATTGAAAAAGCACACAGTCATTGAATCTTTGGCTTTGGAGGGATCTCCATAACCATTTGTCAACATCCCCACGCCTGGCTGAACCACAGAATCACCTGGTGAACTGTTGAAAGAGATTCTGACATTCCTCACCTCATATGGTGAATCTTTCAAAGATGAGAAGGACGTAAATTTCACATAAGCTGTTCTTAGCCCTTTTTGGTCCCTTAAAATTACCCCATTCTTAATTTTTGTCTCCTGAGTTTCCATAAATTATCTATGTATTCATCCAGCAACTTGAAATTCACTATTTTGCTGTTTTCAGAACTGTATACGTGCTTTCTTGTCCAATCACCGCTACTCTTTTAAAAATTGAGACCTTAGCCTGGATCTTCTGCATCTCTTATGTCTTCTAGGATTACTCAAAGATCCCCACAGAAGTTCTGCAGTCACATCTGTGAGTTCCTTCAGTGAACTCTGATAAGATTCATTTGGGCCTAGAGACACAAACTCATAAAGCGGCTAGATGCTCCCTTTTAGTTTTATCACCTCTCTCAGGCTTCGGTTGCTTCTTAATCTGTTGTTTTGTGGCTTAGTGTGAAGATCATTCTCATTGATAGGGAAGATGGCAGCAAACAGAATGCTTGAGTTTTTGTTCTCTCTTACTGTCATCTGCTAATACTATAATATCTGCCCCAAGGGGCGTGTGAATCATTCTTTTCCTTCACTCTAAACATACGCTAACAATTCCTTTTATTGTCCTCTGCATTTTTCTCAAGCTTGAGCTTATTCTCAGATTTAACCCTTCCTGACACTATTCTTACCCAGTTCTCTCTTGCATTCGTTTTAGACGGTGTGCTTTCCCACCCCCGTCTTTTGAATAATTCCTGTTTCATCAGCCACATGCCATTCTTTACATTCCTACCACCTCGGTGGCATTTTAACTCATCTGTATAGTTTTTAGCATTTATCATTATCAAAATTTTATTGTTGAATGCCTTGCTTCCCCCTTAAGACATCTTTCTTGTCTTAGACCCTGGTCATGGGGCCGTATCATTCTTTCCTCTGAACTTGTAGAAATTTGTGCCCTTCCATTTTTGAGAAGTGTTGTCTGTGGCGCAGCTTGCTTTAAATTCGCAAACATTTCTGGATCCTCCCTAGACCTGTGAAATCAGAATTTTTGAAGGTAGCTCTTGAAAATGTGATAATTAGTAAATCTATAATGTTTGGGAATTATGCTGCCCAGCAATTTCATTCCCTGACTCTTACAAACACCAAGCAATTCTCTCAAGGTTTCCATCGCTTTAACTTTGCTTTATTGGTCCAGAGTAATAGCTCCTCTCATTAGTCTCTTCAACTTTCGAAAGATTAAATTGTCAGCAAGTTAATAATTCATCTGTTCTGCTTTTAGGACAGTACAACTTTGGAAAATCACTTGAATTTCTCTAGATACTACTATATCTTGTCTCCACAATAATAACATGAAATATATAAGGGAAATCTTATGCATGTACTCTGGCTGGCTAGGTTGCCAGTAATCTGTTTCCATTAGAGTCATACCATAAGCTTTCCTTTTTGTTTCCTCTTTTATTTTGGACTGAGTGCAAAGAGTTGGGTGAACAGTAATCCTCAGTTCATGGCTCTATCGTCATTTGTCTATACAAAACTCTTTCCCTGTTTGATTTTCCCCTTTAATCCTTAATCTATACTCCTTTTACCCTCTGCATGTAGTGACTTAAGTGTTTGGGATATATCCACAAATAATTAGAGTTGTTTTGTGTAGATATATGTAATTCACAGAAATGGTATTGTGCTCAAAATATCATTGTTTTCTTTTTTCCACTCAGCATTGTTTTTAATATCTCTTTCACACAATTTTGTATCCTTTAATCATATTATATAGTATGTATATGGACATCTGCTTAGCTTCTAAGCACCCTTTACCGCACAATGACACTAAGAAACATCCTCATACGTGCCCTGTAATGGAACTGAGGAAATTTCTCTGGCTTGGAATCATGGGAGCCATAGAATAAATGCATTCTGTCCTTACTACTGCCAGAAAAGAATAATAGCTAAAATAGGATAAATGCATTTTTTAAATTTTCTTTAATCTTTCCCGCTTGCATTTCAAATTCATAGTATTGATATCTATTTCTATCACCAATGCACAAGCATTCTCATTTCCCAAGGTCTCCATCAATACTTGGTATTGTCTACATTTCTGATTTTTGTCATTTGAATGCATATCAAGTTGTATTTCATTGTGTTTTTACATGAATTTCTCTCATTGCTAATGAGTTTGGACATCGTTTTATATGGTTGTTAATTCTTATAGCATCTCATTCTGTAAATTCTTTATTGACATCATTTGTCATTTTTGTTGGATTTCTTGTTTTTTCTTTTGTTTTTTTCCTTTTCATTATCAAGTTGCAGTCTTAATCAGATTTTTCAGTGGTGTACCTCATAAAGCAGAGATCTTTCATTTTATAGTAATCAAGTACATCATATTATTTTCATTAGAGGTGGTTATACTTTGGGCTTTTAGGATCTTAAGAAATCTTTTTCCGCCTCTATGTCACAAAAAATACTTTCCTACATTTCCTTCTACTGAGCTGATAGACTTACCTTTCACATTTTGGTCTTTAATCCACTCACATCCCACTCTGGTTTATTGTGTAATAGAAGGGTATAGAAAGCCAGCTTTATTTTTTCTTAATACAGTGAGGAAATTTTTCCAACACCAATCACAAAACATATTCATTCCCCTGAGGAGTGCAGTGCCCTGGGGTTGGGGCATACCGTGTCATGGCCAGGTGCATGGGCTCTGGGGCTGAACTGCCCAGGTCTGAATCCCAGGTCTGTGACACACTAGCTTTGTGGCAGCTGCTAACTACTGCTTAGCAGTGCTCCAAGTCTCAGTGGGCTGTTTGGAGGAGGAAATGAGATGTCCCAGACACACGGAAAGCACTGTTTTTGTTATTTATCAAGTTCTTCTGCATATATGAATCTATTGCAGTTCTTCTTTTCTCCACTCAGTCTCATTGGTGTCTTTATTTTTTTTTCTTGTGTCAGTATCCATGATAGTTCTCCCTTTCTAATATGTCTAATATGCCTTCCTCATTCCTTTCCCTCCCTTCTTCACTGCCCCAACCCAGGATCACATGCTCCGTTTTGCAGATTGACAAAGTTGACTTTGTCCATGTTTGTTGAGTTGAACGTAATTTGGAGGAATGGTATAAGGATAAGAAAAAAAAACTTGGAGGAGACTAATGCGTAAAGCAAATGGGCGTGCAACTTATTAATTTACAGTGAGACAGATAACTGCCAAACAGACTCAGGTACTTGGTTTTTGTATCTGCACATTCATCTCTGCAGGACAGTATATTTGGAAAGCCATTTATTTTAGGGTCAGGAGCTCATGGAATCGGAGAAGATGGTAGATGGAAAATCTAATGTCATTATGCCATACCTCTGGAATCACCCCATAGTAGACATAAATTTACCTTCCAAACAAGGCAAAAGCTGTACTGTCACCCAGATCTCCCTACTCTTCTGGACAGTGCTGAGTACACACTGACGAATTCTTCTTGCCTAATCCTCTCTCTAACCCCACCCTTTTATAGCTCTGAGCAGAATACCTCATTTCTAACACATTCTCTATTCAGATTTGTCAACACCATTGCCTAAGCCTAAACCATCTTCCTACATTCTAGCCACACCTTGATTCAATTTCTAGACCCAGGGTTTTATCCTGCCCCTTAAGGTAACGTCTTTAGGTAACTAATCTCATTCAGTGTCAGTAGGTTTTACTCACTTAACTAAGAGGACAACAATTTTTCCGAGTTTAGGAAGCAATTTCCATTTTGCTTTTCTCCGTGCATACCACTTGGCCACATAGGATCAGTTTTACACTTTTATCTGGCTACGTTTTACTCTCCTCTTTAAAGTCCTCTCTGGCCAACAAGCTCCTCCCAAACACATTTTTTTTTCTGGTTCCTTTTATTTGCCTCTACCCCACTCATCTTCTCCACCCCCAGGCGTGGAGCCAATCTTCTTATATCTTAAATTAGTCCCTATTTTTTTGGCTCCTTCAGTGTCTCAGAGTTGGAAAGACAAAGAATTGTAATCTTTAGAGTAATATTTTTTTTAGATTCAAACAGCTAGACCTTTTTCTGAACCTATTCAAACCCATTTGCTGTAGGTAACTGTCTAACCTATAGCCCTGGGCTTGTTTGCAGCATCAAAATTCATTCCCAAAGATTCTTGCTAAAAGAAGCTGGTGACAATGAAAAGTAGTCACTGCTGACTCAGATGTTTTATATCAATTGTTTTTCTGACTTGACATACAAAATTGAGTCACAGCATTAAATATAGGTATTATTATACAATTAATGTCAGAGCAAAATAATAGCCTGCTTTATTTTGATTTTCATGTTTCCATTGTACTTACAGCTATTTATTTCTGTTGTTCAATCATAGCTTACTTTGACTTCATGTTCAATAGGTTCTGCAACAAATTTGTAGTTAAATAACATTATGTGTCTCATCTCAATCAGTCACACTGCTGTTAGTTCAGGTAAACAGACAATAATGAAGTAGGCAGGGCAAAGAATGTGTGTTCTGTTCCTTGGAGAGCATCTTGAGAGGCATAAATGAAAATGCCCCCAGCTCCCTTTTGTTATTTTTCTATACCAACTGAATTTGGAAATGTGTAATCTCCTAGGTAGTCTAACAGACATAACAAGGGCCTATAATCTTAATCACATCAGTACCTTCCACTTATATACTTGCTTTCCACTTGTCAAAGCAGTCACCTTCATTAGCTTGTACTACTAGTTTATGTGACATAAATTCTGCGAGATTGGTAAGAATGAATTATTATTGCATTTTGGCAATGAGAAAATGAAGGGCAGAGGCAGATTAATGGCCTGCCTAAAGTTACAGGGTGCTGAAATTAGAAGCCGGCTTGCCTGACTTCTGCTCTTCCACTGTACCTCTACATTATATTCTTGGTGATGGAGCTCTTCTCTCAGAAAATGCTATAATTCCCAAGGACCACATTTATGACAGCGTTAGAAAGGTCTAGAACAACCTTCCGTGTAGATCCATGTGGGAGAAGTAGTCTTCCACCAAGTGCTGCGACTGGGGGAGTCAGGGAGGCTCTCTGCCCCTTGCCAAAGCTGTGGGACTTCAGGTTCCCACAGGCCCCTCTCCCCTTGCAGCAGGGCACTGGAGGGCGGTATTAAAATGCTGTGTTCTCTTCGAAATCAAGCACAGGAAGCCATCAGCAACAGCTAAAACATAACTCTCATTATGCTGTAGCCCTGATGGGGCCCCAGAGACTAAGAACCAGGGAAAATCAAACAGAAGTCAGAGTATCACAAAACTTCCAGAATTGAGAACTGTCCCCAGAAGAGCAACCACAGTGGGATGCCTGGATAGGAAGCCAAAGGCCATAGGAGGGTAAGCAGTGGAGAGGAGAGGGGCCTTACCCGCCAAATCCATAGGTTTTCCAAGACTGTTCCCTTTATGCACTAGGATCTACCAAATAAAGAGAGTAAGATAAAGGTCAACAAATTGACTAAGACATACGAAGCATTTAGTATAGTGCCCAGCACAGAGTAAATCCTCAATAAATGTGAGTTATAAATATCTGCTTGCAAGTAAGAAAGCAAGGCAAAGGGGTATAATTGAATAAGACCAGACATAGAAATTAGAACTCACCCTTGGGAAAACACACAGAGAAAAACCGAGGAGTAACACATGCCTCTTTCTTTTCTGGAGCCTCTGTTTTTGTTTTGTTTTGTTTTCTTTTCTTTTTGAGATGGAGTCTCACTCTGTTGCCCAGGCTGGAATGCAGTGGCACAATCTCAGCTCACTGCAACCTCCGCCTCCCGGGTTCAAGCAATTCTTCTGCCTCAGCCTTCTAAGTAGCTGGGACTACAGGCATGCGCCACAACGCCTGACTGACTTTTTTTTTTTTTTTTTTTTTTTTTTTTTTCGCCATGTTGGCCAGGCTGGTCTTGAACTCCTGACCTCAAGTGATCCACCCGCCTCGGCCTCCCAAAGTGCTAAGATTACAGGCATGAACCACCGCACCCAGTCTCTGGAGCCTCTTTTCCTCCCATCTCCCATGTGTAGTGAACACAGCGAAGGCACCCTGAGAAGCCAGGTGGTCAGAGGATTGACCCAGCGACTGCATCTGTCAGTTCTAAAATGAAGTTGAAATAAGGAATTCCTAGAGATCCCTAAGTAATCAACCATGCCAGAGTAACAGGATAAAGAAGCATATTTTGCATTTGTCTATTGACTTTATTCCAAGCGTAAAAACACTTAGACGTGTTCAAAGCTAAATAAACTTGGAACAGAGCTTCAAGACTCTGAAGTCCCATAGCTTAGTGACTTCCTATATGCACTTCCTAGAGAACCACTCATTTTCGGATTCTCCTCCTCTTTTTTGTTAGTCTTGACGTAGATAAGAGAAATGGCATTCCCTAGTGTACTGTTTCCTTTGTCCCCTATTACTCAAGCCTAGAAATTACATCTGAGTCCTCCTTGTTACAGGTGACAAACAGCATTTGTTTTGCATTTTGATGCAGCCACATTCTCAGGTTCCAGCCTGCCAAGCAAGGTTGGCCTGGGCTGGTAATCTCCCAGGCTTTAATCCTCTCCATCTTTTATTTGTGTGGAAGCTCAAGGCATTAGTCCTCTTAAAAATCTCTAAGATTCATTTTGTTCACAACTCTTGAATATCGTATTACAAGGCAGGGTGTGATTTTTATTGACAATTGGAGTATGCTTAAATGAAGTGTGTGGATGCCTCAAGAGGGGCCACAAATTCCCACAACACTTAACATGGGTTCTGGTAACAAAGACACTTAACAGCTAGGTAAGAATGTCAAGTGGCTGTGACTACAATAATGGAGGCCTACAATTAGTTTAATTACAATACCTACTCACATGTAATAATTTCTCAAGAAGCATGGAAGGTTGCTCACTCCACTGGTAGTTTTTAAGTCTTTTTTACCCCAAGGCCTCTCTTAGAAAATCTGCTGTACAGCCGGGTGTGGTGGCTCACGCCTGTAATCCCAGCACTTTGAGAGGCCAAGGCGAGTAGATCACGAGGTCAGGAGTTCAAGACCAGCCTGGGCAAGATGGTGAAACCCCGTCTCTACTAAAAATACAAAAATTAGCCAGGCATGGTGGCAGGCGCCTGTAATCCCAGCTACTTGGGAGGCTAAGGCAGGAGAATTGTTTGAACCTAAGAGGCGGAGGTTGCAGTGAGCTGAGATAGTGCCATTGTACTCCAGCCTGGGAGACAAGAGTAAAACTCCGTGTCAAAAAAAAAAAAAAAAATTAGCTGGGCATGGTATGGTGGCAGGCGCCTGTAATCCTAGCTACTTGGGAGGATGAAGCAGAGAATTGCTTGAACCCAGGAGGCAGACATTTCAGTGAGCCAAGATTGCCCAAGATCGCACCACTGCCCTCCAGCCTGGGCAACAGAGCGAGACTCCGTCTCAGAAAAAAAAAAAGAAAGAAAAGAAAATCTGCTGTAGCCTGGCAGGTCATGATGTTCTTTCTGCCACAAAACACACAGCATCGAATCCGTTTACAGACACAGGCCTGCTGTCTTCCCTTTCTCTCTGCCCTCCAAGTGTCACATCAGGGCCATATCCACCCAACCTTCCTTTTTTTTTTTTTTTTCTAATCTACAGGAAAGGGAAAACACCACTGAGATTATTTACAAAGAAAAACCCTTATCTTAATAATAGTTTGCTTCCATTAAATGTATCTTCTTTGGGGACTTAATCTTTGTGCCCAGGCATGTTGGAGACAACAGCTGGCATTTATCTTTATGGAAGGAAAGGCATTCCAAGCATAGCGTGTTGGGACTCAAGTCATTTCTTACTTTCCTTTTATTATTCACACTGATGAATTTAAGATAGGCTTCAGATGAATAAATTAATAAACTCTGTTGAAGAAAAATGACAACTGCCTATATCGCCACACATGTGAATCACAGGGTGCCAATTCAGTAGTGTTGGAAATAGGATCTTTCCAATTATTTTGGAGAAGGGTATAGGTTACATGACCACATAAAGCAGTCAGCTCTTATACCCTGTTGAAGATAATCAGTGACAAAATCAGCCAAAGCAAAAGATTATCCATTTATCCTATCTATCTACCCACCCACCCATCTATCCCCCCACTCATCCATCCATCCGTTTATCCATCCATTCATCCATCCATCCATTATCCATATTTATGTTGGCTAGAGCTCTGTGGGTTACTTTAAACCAATTTTTTTCTTTCCTAATTCAACTTAGGAAACATTAAAATTAGCTTTACATTCCATAAGCACCCATACACTGATGGAAAGTGGAGACAGCCCATAGCGCTTTGTTTGAAGGAGTTAGAATTTTAAATTTTTCCTGAATAACCTCAATAGACTAATAATCAAGTGTTGACTCAGCTCTCAAATTTGCTGTGCAGTGCTTACATGGACAGAGGTAAAGAATTTCCTACTTATATTCGATGACAACCTAATGTTTTGTTCTCTCAGTGGTTATTACAGCAGCTTATATTTATGAAGTGTCTTTTTCTGACGAGTTTAAAAGATTCTGTAATTCACTGCATTTTACATGTGGGGACCCAGAGGAATAGAAATGTCACATCGTGACTGAGGGACAGAGCTAATGCCAGAACACAGCTCTCTTAACTTGCAGGGTATTGCTTTATCTTATCATGCTACCTGTCAGCATACAGATGACACTCAAATCTGTCTCCTCTCAAGCCTAAATTCACACTTTTTTTTTTCTTTAACTGTGACTGAACCTCAGTGGACAGAGCAGCCAAGATATCAGGCACTCAGGCACCAAGCATTTGAATTCTGCAACCTTTGAAGTTGTATCTCTGCACCTGGGGGCATTTTAGGTGGCCTCCAGGCCATGTGCCTTCCCACTAATAACTGGTGATGCTGTACCGCCACAGGTGTCAGCAGCAATAACTGGGCCTAGCTTTTAGTTGCTGCCACAGATGTCCTAAGGGAGCGGAAGCTGAATCATCACACTTAGGTCTGGGAAGCTGTAAAAACAAAACCTGTGCTGAACAGCCCCCAATATCTTTGTCTACCAAGGAGTCTGAACTCTTTTAAAGTTTCTTCTTGGTAAAAGCAGTGGCTTCTAGAAAGACGACCTCCACTCTAAAATTTCTACTGATACCTTCAAATAGTGCCTTGCATCTTCAAGAATGATTGGAGCTGTGTTAAAACTTGTAAAATTTGAAGACATTTCAAAAGAATGCAGTGAGGACGATTAAATGATTTGTAAATTAATCATTTAGGACATACAATCTCCAAAATTGAAGATGCCAGCCTTATTTCGTCCAGAGAAGAGAAAGCTAAGAAGAAATACAATAATCCATTGTTAGTGTTGTTTATATGAAGAGTCATGCTATGAAGGGTGGTGATCAGATGGTCTCCATCCTCCTCTTAAGTGAGGGAAAGGGAGTGGAAGGAAATAGGTTTAAACTAAAGCATGCAGGATTTAAGTTAGATAAAAGAAAGAATTTCCTGACAGTAAGATTCTTAAACTCCGGAATGGTTATCAAAAGAAGTTTTGGAATCTGCTTATCTAGAGACCTTAAAAAACACTAGGGACTCCCATCTGTCTAAAATGGTTTAGAACAGACAGCCCTAAAAGGTTCTCAGAGGATCGGATTATCTTTTAAGATTCTTTCTAGCCATATGATAAACAAGAAGATTGGGAGTATTAGTAAATGGCCAATCAGTAAACATCTCAGAGGCCAAAACCACCTTGGCCTCCAGATAACTAATCTCATAATCACCAGTGTAAGTGGGCTTGTTCCAAGATTTGCCAAGAAGATTCTTAAGAAACCCAGAGTTTCTCCCAGTTTGTTGTCCTGCTATTTATTTTTGTGGGATGCCTTTTCTGTGTTTGAGTTTATGTGGTTAAGTTTCTGTGTTTGAGTTTATGTGGTTAAGTCTACTGATCCTTTCCCCTTTTACTCCTTTTATTCTTTTAATACCCAAACCTTAACAATTCCATTGTTTTAGTTTTATGTGATGATTTGTAAGTAAATAAGGATGGTCACTCACTGTGGTATTTATTTACGTTAGCAAAAATGGGGAAGCAACCTAAATGTTCAACACTCTGGGATTTGCCACAGTAAGGGTGATACGTCTGTGTGATGAAATGCAGCAGAGCTATTAAAATTCAAAAGTTTGAAGAACATTTAATTACCTGAAGAAATACTTTAAATGGGGGACAAAATAGCATACAATACTATATCCATGGCATGATTCCAGTGGTGGATCTTTAAGAAAATAAAGGATATACCAATACTGGTGGGAAATATGGTGTTAGAATGACAAAGGATTTTGTATTTCCACTTGAAACTTTTTTGAGTCTCAGTTGTTTGTAGTATATATGAATATCTGATATTATCAGATTTAAAAAGTTGTAAAATAGGCCGGGTTTGGTGGCTCACACCTCTCATCCCAGCACTTTGGGAGGCCGAGGCAG